>NC_000013.11:80700715-80853556 GCF_000001405.40 Homo sapiens | reverse complement strand
TTTACCGAAAAAAAGCTGAAAACATATGTTCACACAAAAATCAGAACATGGATGTTTATAGCAGCTTTATTCATAATTGCCAAAACTTGGAAGCAAACAAGATGTTCTTCAGTAGGTAAATGAATAAACTGTGGTACATCAAGACAGTGGAATGCTATTCAGTACTAAACAAATAAGCTATCAGAGACATAGATGAAACTTTTTTTTTTTTTATTGGTAGAGACGGTGATCTCGCCATGTCATCCAGGCTGATCTCAAACTCCTGGGCTCAAGCGATCTGTCCTCCTTGTCCTCCCAAAGTGCTGGGATTACAGACATGAGCCAGAGGACATGGATGAAACTTAAATGCCTATTACTAAGTAAAATAAGCCAATATTAAATGGCTATATATTATATGATTCCAACTATATGACATTCTGGAAAACACAAAACTACG
The DNA here is from genome assembly GCF_000001405.40 of Homo sapiens. Classification (NCBI taxonomy): domain Eukaryota; kingdom Metazoa; phylum Chordata; class Mammalia; order Primates; family Hominidae; genus Homo; species Homo sapiens. The sequence continues at coordinate 80,853,120 of NC_000013.11, read as the reverse complement.
GAGACAGTAAAAAGATCAGTGTTTTCAGAAGCTAGTGAAGAATGAGGAATGAATACACAGAGCACAAGTATTTTTAGGGTAGTGAAACTACTGTGTATGATGCTATAATTGTGGGTACATGTCATTATACGTTTGTCCAGACTCATAAAATGTACAACATCAAGAGTGAAGAACCCTAACGTAAACTACAAATTTGGGATCACTATGATGTGTCAATACAGGTTCATCAATTGCAATAAATGTACAATTGTAGTGGGGGATGTTGATAAAGGGGAAGGTTATGCCTAAATCAAAAAGATAGAATTATTTTCCTGATTGACAGACCTTTAGCTAAACTAAAAAAAAAGAAAAATCTAGTTTAAAATATTAGAAATGAAAGAGGAACCATTACAATAAAAACTACACATATACAAAAGTCATGAAACTACTGTGAACAACTATATAACAAATTGGATGACCTGGAAGAAACTGATACATTTCTAGACCTATCAAGACTAAATCATGAAGAAATAAAAAATTCAAACTGATTAATACTGAGTAAGGAGATGGAATTAGTAATAAAACGTTTCCTATCAAAGACAAGGGCAGAACTGGATGCCTTCACAGCTGAATTCTAACAAACATTTAAAGAAGAACTAATCATGCTTACATTCTTTCATTAAATTAGAGAGGAGATAATACTTGCAAACTCATTTTACAAAGCCAGCATTACTCTGATACCAAAGCCAGAAAAGAAACTACTAGAAAAAAAAAATTACAGGCCAATATCCCTAAGGAACATAGATGCAAAAATCCTGAATAAAATACTAACAAACCAAATTCAACAGCCTGTTAATAAAATAAAATCATTCACTATGATCACCTGAGATGTATTCCACAGAGACAAGAAGGTCTCAACATGCATAAATCTATAGATGGGATACACCACATCAACAGAATGAAGGACAAAAAACATATGATCATTTCAACAGATGCAGAGAAAATATTTGAAAAAATTTAATATTCTTTTAGGGGAAAAAACCTCTCAACAAAAGAGCTAGAGTAAAATGTAACTCAACACAATAAGGGCTAAAACAACAAGCCCATAGCTAACATTATACTCAATGATGAAAGGCTGAAAACTTTTCTTGTAATATTAGGAACAAGAAAAAGATGCAATCTCTCCTCACTTCTATTCAACATAGTACTAGAAGTCATACCAGAGCAATTAGGCAAGAAAAAAAAAAGGCCCAAATTATAAAGGAAAAAGTTAATTGTCTCTACGGACAGCATGCCTTTATACCATAATCAGTACCTTAATGCAAGGATACATTCTGGGAAATGCATTATCAGGTGATTTTGTCATGTGCAAACATCATAGAGGGTACCTACACAAATCTAGATGGTATAGCTTACTACACACCCAGAATATATGGTATTGCCTATTGCTCTGAGTCTACAAAATGGTATAACATGTGACTGTACTAAATAATGTGGGCAATAATAACACAATGGTAAATATTTTTGTATCTAAACATAACTAAACAAAGTACAGAAAAATTATTGTAGAGAAGGTAAAAACTTAAACACCTATATAAGGCACTTACAATGGATGCAACTTGTGGGATTGGAAGTTACTCTGAGTTTGAAATTACTCTGAATGAGTGAAAAGTGGATGTGAAGGCCTAGGACATTACTGAACAGTATTGTGGACTTTCTAAACAGTGTACACTTAGGCTACACTAAATTTATTTTGTAAATGTATTTCTTAAATAATAAATTAGCCTTAGATTACTGTAATGTTTTTACTTTAACTTTTGATTTTTTTACTCTTGTAATTACACATTGTTTAAAATGTGTAAATTGTATAAAATGTGTAATTTTAACACATTGTACTGGTTTAACAAAAATTGTTTATTTCCTTATATTCTCATTCTATAAGCTTTTTCTATTTTAAAAGTTTTTTTTTACTTTTTAAACCATTTTTTACTTTTTAAAGGTTTACAAAGTAAAAAACAAACAAATGAACAATAAAAAACTTTTAAAAGTTTTAAAAACTAAGACATAAACACACACATTAGGCCAGACCTCACAGAGTCAGGATCAATATCAGTGTGTTCCACCTCCACATGTTGTCTTTCTGGAAGGTCTTCAGGGGCAATAACACGGAGCTTCCAGCAGGAGATGATAGCTTATATGATAACAATGCCTTCTGGAATACCACCTGAAGTAATAGCCTGAGGCTGTATTACAGTTAACTTTTGAAAAAATAGGTAGAACAAGCACACACTAAAATAACAATAAAAGTATGGTATAGTAAATACGTAAACCAGTAACATTCATTTATTAGCATTGTCAAATGTTCTGTACTACACATAATTATACTTTTCCACAAGTGGCAATGCAGTAGATTTGTTTATACCAGCATTATCATAAATATTTGAGTAATGCATTGGGCTACAATGTTACAAACACTACCGTTTTACTAGGCAATGGGAATTTTTCAGCTCCAATATAATCTTATGGGACAATCATCATATATGCAGTCCATTGTTGACAGAAATATTGTTATGTGGATATGTGACTGTATATATAACACCCTAAAGATTCCATCAAAAATGGTTAGAGTAATAAATTAATTAGTCAAATCAGTAAAGTTGCAGTATAAAATATCAATGTACAAAAATCAGTAGCATTTCTATACACTAACAACAAACTCTGAAAAAGAGTTCAAGAAAACAATCCCATTTACAATAGCTACAAAAATACTTATGAATAAATTTAGCCAAGGAGGTAAAAGAGCTTCATTAAAAAAACTAGAAAATATTGAATAGAAAAATTGAAAAAGACACAAATAAATAAAATAAATGGAAACATACCTATTGTTTATGGATTAGAAGAATTAATATCATTAAAATGTCCATACTACCAAGACGATCTACAGGTTCATTGCAATTCCTATCAAAATTTCAATGACATTTTTCACAGAAATAGGTAAAACAATCTTAAAATTTGTACGAAACTACAAAAGACTCTTATAGCCAGAGCAATTTTGAGCAATAAAGCAAAGCAGAAGCCTTCACGCTACTTGACTTTAAAGTCTCCTACAAAGTTATAGTAATCAAAAGAGTATGATACTGCCATAAATACAGACACATAAACTAATGGAACAAAATTGAAAGTCCAGAAATAAACTCACACATTTACAGTCAATTGATTTTTTGACAAAGATACCAAGAACAAATAATGGGGAAAGTATAATCTCTTCAATAAATGGAGTTCAACCATTAAATGAAGACAAATGAAATTAGATCTTCATCTCACACCATACACAAAGATCAAATAAAAATGGATTAAAAACTTAAACGTAAAACCTGAAATTGCAAAACTACCAGAGGGAAACATAGAGGAAAGCTTCATGACATGGTTTAGACAATGATTTCTTTTGTATATCACCCCTAAAACGCAGGTAACAAAAGCAAAAATAGATAAATTAGATTACGTCAAACTAAAACACTTCATCACTGCAGAGGAAACAATCAACAGGATGAACAGACAACCTACAGAATGGAAGAATATATTTGCAAATCATACATCTGATAAGGTGTTAATATTCAGAATATATAAAGAACTCAAACACTTTAGTAGTAAGAAAATAAGTTCCCAATTTTTAAAAATGGACAAAGTACCTGAATAGACATTTCTCAAAGGAGTACATACAAATGGCTAACAGGTAACATAACTAATCAGCAGGGTAATACAAATCCAAACCACAGGGTCATATTACTTCACACCTATTTGAATGGCCATTATCAAAAAGATGAAAGACAGTAAGTGTTGGTGAAAATGTGAAAAAAATAATCTGCATACCGTGGAAATGTAAGTTTGTAAAGCCATTATGGAGAACAGTATAGAGATTCCTCAAAACAATTAAAAATGGAGCTACCATATGATAGAGCAATCCCACTACTGAATAAATGTCTAAAGGATATGAAATCAGTATGTCAAAGATACAGCTACACTCTCATGTTGACTGCAGTACTATTCATAATAGCCAAAAAATAGAATCAACCTGGGTATTCATGAATGGATGAATGGATTTTAATATGTGATATACATACACAATGAAATAATATTTAGCTTTCAAAAAGAAGGAAATCCTAGCCAGATGTGGTGGTGCACATCTGTAATTCCAGTACTTTGGTAGGCCAAGGTAGGTGGATTGCTTGAGTCCAGGAGTTTGAGACCAGCTTGGACAAATTAGTGAAACTCTGTCTTTACAAAAAAAATAAAAAGAAGAATAAAACAAAAATTAGCTGGGTGTGGTGCTGTGCACTTGTGGTCACAGCTACTTAGGAGACTGAGGTGGGGGGATTGCTTAAGCCCAGGAGTTAGAGGTTGCAGTAAGCTATGATGACCCTACTGCACTCCAGCCTGGGCAACAGAGCAAGACTCTGTCTCAAAAAAGAAAAAAAAGAAAGAAAGGAAAGAAAGGAAAGAAAGAAGAAAGAAAGAAAGAAAGAAAGAAAGAAAGAAAGAAAGAAAGAAAGAAAGAAAGGAAGAAAGAAATGAAAAGCAATCCTGCCCTTTGTGCCCTTTGGAGGATACTGGGTTAAGTGAAATAACTCAAGCACGTAAAGATAAATAATGTATGATGTCTCTTACATATGGAGTGTAAATGGTAGTTACCAAATGTTAGAGACAGGAGAGATTGGGGAGATACTGTTCAAAGGACAAAATAATTTCAGTTCAACAGACCTATTGTACATCATGGGGACTAAATTAATAACATATTGTATACTTGAAAACTGCTAAGAGAATAGGTTTTAAGTGTTCTCACCACACACACACACACACAAATGTCACGTGAAGTAATATATATGTTAAATAGCTTGATTTGGCCATTCCACAATGTATACATGAATCAAGACAAAATCTTGTACACTATAAATATGTACAATTATTACTTGTCAATTAAAAGGAGGGAGAAAAACTCTTCACAAACTACAAATAGAGGAGAATTTTCTTAAAGTAAAAAAAAAATAACCCTATAAAATACCTACACCAAACATCACACATAACAGCAAGAAATTAGATGCTTTTACCCTAAAATGGAGATCAAGAAAGACTGTCTCCTCACCACTTCTTTTCAATATTGTACGAGAGGTCCTAGCCAGTGCACTAATATAAAAAATAGAAATAAAGATACACAAATTATGAAATAAGAGAAAAACTGCCTTTATTCACAAATGACATGATTGTCTATACAGAAAATCCGAAAGAATCAATCTGGAATTAATAAACAAATATAGCACAGTCACAGGATCCACGGTTATTACACAAAAGTCAATCAAAATATACCGGCAAAGAACAATTAGAATTTAAATTAAAAACACAATACCATTTTCATTAGCACATAAACACACACTCACAAAAGATATATTTGGGAATAAATCTTACAAATATGTACAGGATCTTTTTGAAGAAACTACAAAATTGATCAAAGAAATGAAGAATCTAAATAAATAGAGAGACAGTACATGCTTGTGGATACCAAGACCTGATACTGTTAAGATGTCAGTTTTTCACAAAATGATCTGTAGAGTCAATGCCATCCCATTCAAATTTTTAGCAAGGTACTTAGTGGATATTGACAAGCTGCACTAAGGTTTATATGGAAAGGCAGAAGAAGTAGAATAGCCAACATAATACTGATGAACAGTGTCAGAGGACTGAAGTAACCAATTCAAGTCTTAGTATAAAGCTATAATAGTCAAAACATCATGATACTGGCTAATAAGTATATAAGTGGATTGGTGGAACAGAATATAGAACCAAGAAATAGACCCACACAAATCTAATTGTTGACCAACACACAAATTCAATGAAGAAAGAATTGTATGTTCAACATACGATGTTGGAACAATTGGACATCTACTGACAAAAAAAGGGGAAAAAAAGAATTTAGATGTAGTCTTTATACTTTCCAACAAGAAAGATTCAAAATAGACCACAGAAAAATGTAAATTGACCATTTGAACTTTATTAATGCTTTTTTCTCTGAAAAAAAAAAAAACGCTGTTAGGAGAATTAAAAAGCAAGCTGCAGAATGTGAAATATTATTTGCAAAACTAATCTAATAAAGGGCTTGCATCCAAGTATACAAATAACTCTCAAAACTTAATGGTAAGAAAACAAAAAACTCAGTCTAAGTATGGGCAAAAGATCTGAACAAACACCTCACAAAGGAAGGATACGTATGTAGCAAACATGAAAAGATGCTCAACATCATGTCACTGGCAAATTGTACATTAAAACAATGAAACACCACTACACATATATTAAAATGGCAAAAAATTAAAGTAACAATATCAAATTTTAGTGAAGATGCAGAGCAACCAGAACTATTTTTCATTGTTGGTGAGAATTCAAAATGCTTCAGTTCCTTTGCAAGACACTTTGGCAGTTTCTCCCATAGCTAAGCATAGTTATAGCATAGGATTAAATAATTATGCCCTAGGTATTTACCTAATTGAGTTGAAAACTTAGGTTCTCACAAAAACCTTCACACAATTTATAGCACCTTTATTCATAAGCACCATAATCTGGAAGCAAATGAGATGTCCTTCAATAGGTGAATGGCTGAACTGTGGTACATTCATAAAATGGAATATTATTCAGTGATTAAAAGATATAAGTGTATTAGTCCGTTTTCACGCTGAAGATAAAGGCATACCCAAGAGTGGGAAAAAGAAGCGGTTTAATCAGATTTACAGTTCTGCATGGCTGGGGAGACCTCAGAATCATGGTGGGAGGCAAAAAAGCACTTCTTACATGGCAGCAGCAAGAAAATATGAGGAAGAAACAAAAGTGGAAACCCCTGATAAACCCATCAGATCTCATGAGACTTATTAACTATCATAAGAATAGCACAGGAAAGACCAACCTCCATGATACAATTACCTTCCCCTGGGCCCCTCCCACAACATGTGGGAATTCTGGGAGATACAATTCAAGTTTAATTTTGGGTGGGGACACAGCCAAATCATATCAATGAGCTTTCAATCCATGAAAACACTGGAGAAAACTTAAATGCATATTGCTAAGTAAAATAAGCCAATCTGAAAATACTATATACGGCATTTCTCCAATGTTATGACACTCTGGAAAAGGCAAAAACTGTAGAGGTAGCAAAAAGATTAGTGGGGGTGCTAAGAGTTCTGGGGAGGGGAGTGGAAATTGATGGAATTTTTAGGACAGTAAAACAATTCTATATGATACTTTCATTGTGAATACATGGCATTATGCATTTGTCAAAATCCATTTAACTGTACAACACAAAGAATTTTAGTTAATAATGGATTCATTAATTACAACAAATGTGCTACATTAAGCATACGGAAAAGAAAATACATGGGAACTCTTCATACTATCTGCTCCATTTTCCCATCAATCTAAAACAGTGATAAGTAATAAAATCTGTTAATTTTTTTAAAAAAAATTATTTGGCAAGTAAAGGCACTTTTTATTTTATTTTTTATTTTTAGATGGAGTCTCGCTGTGTCACCCAGGCTGGAGTGCAGTGGCGTGATCTCTGCTCACTGCAAACTCTGCCTTCTGGGTTCACGCCATTCACCTGCCTCAGCCTCCCGAATAGCTGGGACTACAGGTGCCTGCCACCACGCCGGGCTAATTTTTTTGTATTATTTTGTAGAGACGGGGTTTCCCCGTGTTAGCCAGGATGGTCTCGATCTCCTGACCTAGTGATCTGCCCGCTTCGGCCTCCCAAAGTGCTGGGATTACAGGCGTGAGCCACCGCGCCCGGCCTCTATTCTTCTTAAGAGTATATTGAGGACTTGACTATGTGATTCTTGGCCCTATGTATTTTCATTTGTGGCCACTCATTAATATTCAGCTATTAGATGGGCTAGTCTGGAATGTCCATAATGGCTTCACAGGCCTGGAGTTTTGCCAGCAATGAATGAACAGCTGGGCTTATCTGAGACTCAATGTGAGTATCTACACATGGTTTTCCCAGTAAGCTGTCTTCAGTATCCTTAAACTTTGTATCTGATGACCAGGGCTCCGAAAGAAAACACTGCAAGAAATAGGAAGTAGAAACTGCTAATTTCTTAAGGCCTAGGCTCAGAAGCTGGTGCGGCATCACTTCTGGCATATTCTTCACAGAGCCTAACGAGATTCAAGGCAAGAAAGAACCAGCTCTTAATAGGAAGGATGACTAACAATTTATGATGATCTTTAATCCATCAAATTCTTAATGAGGATGCTAACATCATTTCATCTTAATTATAATATGATCATGGATGTTGCAGACGCTTTTATGCCTTTTACTGGGATATAAAATTTTCTTCCATTCCCAATTTGATAATTTTTTAGTGAAACATTCTAAATAATTTTTCTTTATCTACTGAAATTATTGTATGGATTTTCCTTTAATATGGCATATTAGGATATAGATTCAACAACGATAAAAGAATCTCAAGTAAGAATGGGTTCAAGATCAAAGTTTACTTTTATTTAATAGGCCAGTATGAAGAGTGCAAGTCTTATACAGAATGTGCTCCAGACTCCTTCTGCGTTGTTGTGGCTTCATATTTATATTGTTTCTAAGGGCATTATACATAATTTCAACATTTCTATAAGCATAAATTGAAAACAGAATGAAATCAGGTAAGCTTCTTACCATTTAAGAGAACTAACAGTTACATACATCATTCTGTTTCACAGCCTTTTGGCCAGAATTTAGTCCCATGGCAGTATGTATTTGCAAACAAGTCTGGGGAATGTAGTGTACTATTCTTGGAAAGCACATGCCCACATTTTTTAAAAAATGTACTTCTTGGAATGCCTATGTTTAGATAAAAATTGCACATATATCTATATCTATATATCTATATATTATATATGGAATATGGAGAAATTAATTATCATGAAACAATAAATACCCTTAACATGCATGATGAGTTACACTAATCAATTTTTTTCCTGCTACTAGATTATATAACATCTTTTAGTATAGAGTCCAATCATCCATTTTTATATATGATAAAATATTTCACACAGTATCTTAAAGGTAAGAGGTACTCAATGTCTATATAATATTTGTATGGATATAGACACTGATATGAAGGAATGCACACATACATAAATCAGTGAATACCCAACCTTTGTAATAACAAAGTATCTCCTGCATTAATTCATGCTTTCATTTATGGGGTAAACGCAACTGGCTCATTCTGAATCATTATTTTTTTAGACTGTGCTACTTTTCTTTGATATTATTTGGCTTAAGACTTTTTTTATAAGAAAGATCTTTTTTTCTTAAACTGCCCTGGTCATTTTATCAAAGTTATGCCTGATTTGGGAGTAAAATTATTTTTAAAAATTTTTTAGATGTTAGAAATATTTTCTTAAAGTTAGGACCACTTGTTGCAAGAAGAAACCACCAACCTAAAATCTCTTGAGTGACTAAGTTTTTCTTACCATAGAGATACCTGTATTAACACAACATGAAGTGAGGTTGACTGTTTTTCTTTCCTCCAAATGCCAAGTTTAACAGAGGTTTTAGCTGTTACATTATTTGTTTGGTTTTGCTGTAACTTTCTGCTTAGTTTTATTCCCTTTCATCTTCATAATGCCAATAAAAATCATTTTCCAGCTTTATATGAGGAGTCTCTTATTTGGTCTCCTCAGCCTTCATAGACTTTATCTCCCTACTCTCATCCCAAACATCTGTCAGAGCAGAAATTCGAGTTATTTAGGCTTTTTTTTTCAGTAACTATGAATGCAAAAGCAAACTTGGATGGTTTTATAGCTTCTAGATATTCTTCATTTCATTTTTATTCTCTGTGGGATTAGTTCTGTCTTGTCCCATCAGTGATGAAAGATAAACAGATTTCGTATCTCTGATACACATGCACGTGCACACACACACACACACACACACACACACACACACATACACCAGCTTTTGCGTTGCTGTTAGTGGGAAAGTCAGTCAGGTACCAGGTTTGCTTTATTGCCAGAAAGAGAAGTGACAAGATGACTAGACCATCTCGCTTCTTTTTCCTTCATTCAGAATCTTTTTCGTTAAATAGGATCAATTATTTAACAGAGATGGACCTCGTGGACATTATGCCAGGAATAGAAAGACAAATTCTGCATTATCTCAGTCATATGTGGAATTTTAAAATAGCCAGACTCATAGAAGCAGAGAGTAGAATGGTGGTTGCCAGGCACTGAGGTAGGTGGAAATGAGAAGGTGTTGATCAAAGGTTATAACATTTCAGATAAGCAAGATAAGTAAGTTCGGAAGATATACTGTACAATGTAGGACCTATGATTAACCTCTGGCTTAAGTATTGTATACTTAACATTTACTAAGGGGATAAATCTCATCTTAAGTGCTCTTACCAAAAAAGAAAAAAAAACTCAACTGAAAGTGAGGGGCAGACCGAAGGAAGCTTTTGGAGGTAATGGGTACATTTATTACATTTATTGTGGCAGTGTTTCACAGGTGCTTACTTATTTTCAAACATATCAAGTTGTATATATATATGAAATATCGACAGCATTTTATATATCAATCATGCTTCAATAAAAAGCTTTAAAAATAAAGAAATATACCTTATTACATGACTCAGTTCCTCATAAATCTTTCACTGTCCATCACTGACTGCAGAATGCTGTTCCTGCTCCTTAACTATGTATTGCAGAGATGCCTAACATGGCCTCAATTGACCATTCTTTGGTTTCCTGCAACTTTTTCCCCCTCAATTCATGTTTCTTTGAATATAACATGGGCTACTACTCAGAGCAGTCTCAATTACTTCATGAAAATTCTCTTCACTTTCTTGCTTGCTGCCTATGATACTGAGATGCTGTCTACCTGGATTGCTTTTTGTTCTTATACCTACCTATCAAAATCTATCTTACGTATCCTTAATAATAAGTTCAATGACAATCACAAACCATCTCTCCTTTCTTTATATTACTAAAACCTTTCTCAAAAGCTTTTCACAAAAAGCAGCCTCATGATTCGCATTATAATCGTTGCTCTAAATGCCTATCTGTATCCCTAAACCACACCATTTCTGAGAACAGAGACTATGCTGCAATCGCTATGGAATCTTTCTAGAAACCTAGTGCTTCACTTATTAACGTATTTGTCAATAGATACTTATTGGATTCAATTATATTTTCCCATTTCTGTTTCTTTTAAATCACAACAAAATAAATGTAGATTCCTAAAGTTATGCATGTTAGGCATTGGAGATATTCTACACAACACTTAACTTTTATAAAATAAATAAAATAACAAGCATAGAGGACACTATAACAAAACAACAGGGGTACTTTTATGAGTAGAAGGATTTAGCCTGAAAGGCAGGAGTCCCCATGAGCCTCTCATAACTATGCAGCTGTACTGCTGGCTGCAGTCTAAAATTCAAGAGATATTTTCTAAGTCTGTTGTTGTTATTAATTTGAGGAGAAGAGGTCTCTGTAGAGGAAAAAAATCCAAGATTTTTTGTTTCCTTTTCCATCACTCACAGTCACTGTAATGTCAACACCATTTAGATCAAATTTCAGGCATTCAAAATGTGCAGCTTCATCCAGCTGCAAGAACTAAAAATCAACAGCACTATAGCCTAACCAATAAAATATGTCTGAGGGTGTTAGTAACAATTAACAGGTGTGTACCTTCCCGAGAAAGCTTGCATGACCTGAAATGTGTGAAGTAGTACACTTGGATTTCATAAGAATTACATATAAGAAAATATGTATCTTTTTTTACTAATGGATCTTAAATAAAGTAATTTAACCACATAAACCACTTAAACACATGTTACAAAAGGGTACCTTGGTCTTCATCAAAGTCAGTAGGCTCATTGAATACGAGCATAGTCCCTGCTACCCAACTGTGTGTCCCTGAATCTTTTCTCTTTCACAACGAAGAGGATTAAAATTCTCTGCTAGGCATTTAATTTACCTAACTTTTCGTTTCCTCATGTATAAAATGGAAATAAAAGTACCAAACTCATGATATCTTATGAGAATTCTATATAGCATCCCAATCTAAGTTTACAAAATTTTCCTCCTCTCTGACTCAAAAGAAAAAAAAATCTGTGCATTTCTCCCTCTTTGCTTTTGCATTGTCTTGAAGAATTTTTTTTTTTTTTTTTTTTAGGGAAGCAACGTCTTGCTCTGGTTGAGGAAGCAACGTCTTGCTTTTCCATGTCTTCCTTTCTTTGTGATCTATCAATTCTATCGTGATCTCCAGTAGTTTACTAATGTGCTCTTCTCAACTCTGAACCACACCCTTCCTCTTCCCTCTGCCAAGACTCACAAAATTAATCAGGTCACTAATGCACTTACAACCCACGAATTCTCCCTCCTTTCTGTTCCTCTGTGATTTCCACCTTACCAATCCTCACATTTCAATAACTCCTGTTGCCCAATTCCTCTCCCCATATTCACAAACTGAATCAAATTACCAAACAATAGTGACTGATTCAACTGACCTCAGCTGGACCCTCATTGTATCTCAGCAATTCTTTTATTTATCACTTGTTGACTAACCATTGCATTCCTCCCTGCAGCTGTTCCAAATGTTTCCGTTGTGTTCAAGTCCCTAATACCAGCCCTCCTTCCTCCCTCTTAGCACATAACCTCACCTCCTACTGAGAAAATTAAAACCATCCCAACCTAAGTTTACACAATTGCCCTTCTCTCTGACTCAAAAGAATAAAAAAATCTGTGCGTTTCTCTTTCTTTGCTTTCGTATTGTCTTGAAGAATTTTTTTTTTTTCCAGAGAAACAGCATCTTGCTCTGGTGCTTTGGGTTTGGAGTCAGGACAACAAAGTTTAGATAATTCGTGTTGACACAGCATGACCTTGACAAATTTTCTCGTTTTGCAGTCTCAATGCCGACATCGCTAAAATGGAGGTAAAAATTTCTACTTCATAGAGTAGTAAGGAATAATTAGCAAGTTTTGTCAGATAATATACACTTAACAAACTATTGCAATTACTATTTGGAAACCCAAAGACTTCATTCTGTTTATTCTAATAATGAGCCTGTTTTGAACCTATTTATTCTAATAATGATGATAATAACGATGATGAAAGTGATGACAGTAAATTATTATCTCCTTGCCTTTCTTAGTAAGATGCTACTTCAATTATATCTTTTCTTTCTTAAATCTTTATTTCAATGTAGTTAATTGGATAATTTTTTTCTTCCTTATATATGATCAAGCTGTCATTTTTCTTTAAAAGAAAAAAAATGTTTGACCCTACACATGATTCAAGATAACATCCCATTCATTGCCCAGTATCCTTAAGAAAGTTATCCAGTATCCTTAAGAAACTTGTTTATACTAGCTGCTCTTTTGTCTTTTCCAAATAGTTCTTAAAACCCTCAATGTAACTTTTCACTTTATTTTAACCATTCCTTGAAAAGCACCATTTAACTCATGCTCATCCACCTGCTCTATGACAGACCTAGGGGCATAGCAGTGGGAAGAACAGAGTGGTTCCTGAATTCTTAAAGATTACAGTCTAATATGAAGGCACACATTAAGCAATAATGTAAGTGCTATCAATATCAGAAAGAGAAGTAACAAAGTGCAATGAAAATGAGAGTTAATTAAAGACTGAGTAAAAAAGTAGCAATGAAAATTACCTAAAGGAAAAGCTATACATGAGAGGGAATTAGAGGAAGATCAAGGATACAGACAGAAAGAAGAGTATGTGTGAGTACCCTCATATGACAATAAGAAGAGGGATAAGTACCTAGCGGGGAGTGGTTTAAGAGATGATAAGCAGAAGTATGACCTTAAAGAGTTTCTAAGCCATGTTAGTATTGAAGAATTTTTTTTAAAAGGGAAGAAAATCATTTGAGATGTCAAGTAAAGGACTAGGAAGATAGCCACATTTTTATTTTTAAAATATCAGTCTGACCTTAAGTACTGAGAGATCACTCATGAGGCTACTGTCCACAAAAGAGAAGAGGGAGACTTGGATGAAGGTGCTAATGGTGGGGGTGTAGAGAATAAGAAAGTTCAAGAAATATTTTAAGAGCTAGAATTCATAGGATTTAGTGATTAATTACATATGAGGAGGCAACAAAATTATGGCAGAAATAAGTATCAAGCAACATATTTTTTCTTGAGCAATTAAGTGGAGTCTGACACCACTTATTTATTAAAGTAGGTAAAGGAGCAAAGGTATATTAATAAAACAATAAACACCTATTGAACACTGATATGGTTTGGCTTTATGTCCCTACCCAAATCTCATGTTGAATTGTAATCCCCAGTGTCGGGGGAGGGACATGGTAGGAGGTGATTGGATCACAGGGGAGGATGTCGTGCTTCTTGTTCTTGTGATACTGAGCAAGTTCTCATGAGATCTGGTTGATTAAAAGTGTGTATCACCTCCCCCTTCACTCTCTTCTACACTGATTGTAAGTTTCCTGAGGTTTCCCAGCCAGGCTTCCTGTACAGCCTGAACAGTGAGACAATTAAACCTCTTTTCTTTATAAATTACTCAGTCTCAGGTGTTTCCTTATAACAGCATGAGAATGGACCAATACAGAAGATTGGTACCAGAAGTGAAGCATTTCTACAAAGATAACTGAAAATGTGGAAGCAACAGCAGAACTGGGTAATGAGCAGACGTTAGAACCATTTGGAGGGATCACAAGAAGACAGGAAGATGAGGAAAAGTTTGGAACTTCCAAGAGACTTTTTGGATGGTTGTGATCAAAATACTGATAGTGATATGAATAGTGAAGTTCAGACTAAGGTAGTCTCAGATGGAGATGAAGAATTTATTGGGAACCTGTGTAAAGGCCACTCTTGCTATGCTTTAGCAAAGAGACTGGTGGCATTATGCCCCTGCTCTAGAGATCTGTGGAACTTTGAACTTGAGTAAGATAATTGAGGGTATCTGGTGGAATAAATTTCTAAGCAGCAACGTGTTCAAGATGTAGCCTGGCTGCTTCTAACAGGGTATGCTCATAGGCATTCCCAAGAGGATGGTCTGAAACTGGAACATATATTTAAAAGAAAAGCAAAGCATAAAAGTTTAGAAAATTTGCAGCCTGGCCATGTGGTAGAAAATAAAAACCCTTTTCCTGGTGGGAATTCAAGGCTGCAGAAAGTTTCATGAGTAAAGAAGAGCCAAATATTAATAGACAAGAAAATGGGGAAAATGACTCCAAGTTGTTTCAGAGACCTTCACAGCAACCCTCCCATCACAGACCTGGAAGCCTAGGAGGGAAAAATGGTTTCATGGGCCAGACCCAGAGTCCTACTGTTCTATGCAGCATTGGGACATGGTACCCTATGTCCTATCTGCTCCAGCTCCAGATGCCATGGCTAAAAGGGGCCAAAGTAGGGCTGGGCACAGTGGCTCACACCTGTAATCCCAGCACTTTGGGAGGCCGAAGCAGATGGATCACCTGAATTCAAGAGTTGAGAAGAGCCTGGCCAACATGGTGAAACCCCATCTCTATCAAAAAAAAAAAAAAAAAAAAATTAGCTGGGCATGGTGGCAGGCACCTGTAATCCCAGCTACTCAGGAGGCTGAGGTGGGAGAATCACTTGAACCCAGGTGGCAGAGGTTGCAGTGAGCTGAGATGGTGCCATTGCACTCCAGCCTGGGCGACAAGAACAAAACACCATCTCAAAAAAAAGTGGGGGGGTGGCACTAAAGTACAGCTTGGGCCATTGCTTGAGAGGGTTCAAGCCCCAAGCCCTGGTGGCTTGCACATGGTCTTGGGCCTGTGGGTGCACAGACACAAGAATTGAGGCCTGGGAGCCTGCGCATAGGTTTCAGAGGATGCATGGAAATGCCTGGATGTCCAGGCAGAAGTCTGCTACAGGGGCAGAGCACTCACGAAGAACCTCTACTATGGCGGTGCAGAGGGGAAATGTGGGGCTGAAGACTCCGCACAGTATCCTCACTGGGACACTGCTTATGTGACACAGTGGAGCTGTCATAAGAGGACCACCATCCTCCAGACCCCAGAATGGTAGCTCCACTGATAGCTTGCACTATGCACCTGGAAAAGCCACAGGCACTTAAGGACAACCAGTGAAAACAGCCATGGAGGCTGTACCCTGCAGAGCCACAGGGGAGGGGCTTCCCAAGGCCCTGGGTACCCACCCCTTGCATTAGTGTGGCCTGGATGTGAGACACAGAGCCAAAGAAGATTATTCTGGAGCTTTAAGATTTAATGACTGTCCTACTGGGTTTTGGATTTGCATGGAGCCTGTAGCCCCTTTGTTTTGGCTAATTTTTTCATTTCCAAATGGGAGCATTTACCTGTATCCACATTGTATCTTGGAAGTATCTAACTTGGTTTTTATTTTACAGGCTCACAGACAGAAGGGACTTGCCTTGTCTCAGATGAGACCTTGGACTTAGCTCCTGGAATGAGCTAAGACTTTGGAGGACTGTTGAGAAGTCATGATTGTGTTCTGAAATGAGAAGGACATGAGATTTAGAAAGGTCAAGGGTGGAATGATATGGTTTGGATTTGTGTCCCCACCCAAATCTCATGTTGAATTGTAATTCCCATGTGTTGGAGGAGGAACCTTGTGGGAGGTGATTGCATCATGGGGACAAATTATCCCCTTGATGTTCTCATAATAGTGAGTGAGTTCTCATGAGATCTGTTGTTTAGAAGTGCATAACACTTTCTCCTTTGCTCTCTTCCTCCTGCTGCCATGTAAAGAAAGTGCTTGCTTCCCCTTCACCCTTCCACCATGATTGTAGGTTTCCTGAGGCCATCGTAACCATGCCTTCTGTACAGCCTGCAGCATTGTGAGTCAATTAAACCTCTTTTCTTCATAAATGTCCCAGTCTCAGGTAGTCTCAGGTAGTTATAGTCTATGAGAACAGACTGTAACAAATATCAACTGTGTGCAAGAAATCAACTACAAAATACTACATATATATACATATGGCTAATTTAATATATCCCTAGGAGAAATTCTGCTTTGTCATGATGAATAATCTTTTCACTTTGTTGTGGAATTCAGTTTGTTAGTATTTTGTTGATAAATTTTGCATCAATGTTCATCAGGGGTATTGTCCTATAGTTTTCTTTTTTTGATATGTTCTTGTCTGGTTTTGGTATCAGGGTAATACTGGCCTTTTAGAATGAGTTTGGAAATATTCCCTCCTCTATTTTTCAGAATAGTTGGGTAGGATTTTTATAGTTCTTCTTTAAATGTTTAGTAAAATTCAGCAGTGAATCCACTGGGTCCCAGGCTTTCCTTTGTTGAAAGACCTTCTATTATGGCTTCAAACTCTTGTTATTGATTTATTCAGGTTTTGAATTCCCTCATGGTTCAATGTTGGTAGGTTGTGTTTGTTTAGGAATTTATCATTTCTTTTGTGTTTTCTAACTTATGGGCATATACTTGCACATAGTAGCCTCTAATGATCCTTTGAATTTCTGTGGTATCAGTTGTAATATCTCCTTTTTCTTCTCTGATTTTATTTATTTAGATTTTCTTTTTTTCTTAGTTAGCCTGTGATATGGTATCAATATGCATCTCCACACAAATCTTATGTCAAATTATAACCCCCAGTGTTGGAGGTGGGACCTGGTAGGGGCAGAGTTCTCATAAATAGTTTAGCACCATTCCCCCTTGATACTATACAATGAGTGAGTTCTCATGAGATCTTGTTTAAAAGCTGGTAGCACCTCCACACTCTCCTCTTCCTGCTCTGGCCATATAAGACAAGCCTGTATCCCCTTCACCTTCTGTCATGACTGTAAATTTCCTGAGGCCTCCTCCAAAACCAAACAGATGGCCAGCATCATGCTTCCTGTAAGGCCTGTGAAACCATGAACCAATTAAACCTCTTTTCTTTATAAGTTACCCAGTCTCAGGTATTTCTTTATAGCATTGTGAGAATTAATTAATATGGAAAATTGGTACTGAGAAGTGGAATGTTGCTATAAATATACCTGAAAATGTGGAAGCAGCTTTAGAACAGGGTAATGGGCAGAAGTTGGAAGAGTTGGAGGGCTCAGAAGAAGACAGGAAGATGAGGGAAATTTTGGAAGCTTTGTGATTGGTTAAATGGTTGTGACAGAATTGCTGATAGTAATGTGGACAATAAAGTCTGGGCAGAGCAGGTCTCACACAGGAATGAGAAACATTTTGGGAACTAGAGGAAAAGTTATTTTTGTTGTGCAAAGAGCCTAGAGGCATTGTGCCCCTGCCCTAGGGGTCTGTGGGACTTTGAACTTTAGATAACAATTTAGACTATCTGATGGAAGAAATTTCTATGCAGCAAAGTATTCAAAATGTGGCCTGGCTGCTTCTAAAAAACTATCTTCATATGCATGAGCAAAGAATTGACTTGAAACTGGAACTTATGTTTAAAAGGGACACTGTGCACATGTACCCTAGAACTTAAAGTATAATAAAATAAAAGGGAAACAGAGCATAAAAGTTTGGAAAATTTGCAGCCTGGAGATGTAGTAGAAAATAAAAATCTATTTTCTAGGGAGAAATTCAAGAAGGCTAAAGAAATTTGCATAACTAAAAGGAAGGCAAATACTGACAGCCAAGACAATGGGAAGAAGCCCTCAAAGGCATTTCAGAGACCTTTGCAGCAGCTCCTCCCATTACAGGCCCAGAAGCCTAGGAGGGAAGAATAGTTTTGTGGGCCAGGCCTAAGGCCCTGCTGTCTTGTGCAGCCTCAAGATGCTGCACTCTGCTTTCCAGCTTCACCAGCTCCAGCCCTGGCTAAAAGGGGCCCAGGTATACCTCGGGGTGATGCTTCAAAAGGTGCAAGTCATAATCTATGGAGGATTCCACATGGTGTTAAGCCTGCAGGTGCACAGAGTGCAAGAGTTGAGGCTTTGGAGCCTGCCTAGATTTGAAAGGATGTATGAAAAAGGCTGGATGTCCAGGCAGAAGCCTGCTATGGGGGCGGAACCCTCATTGAGAAGCACTAATAGGACACTGTGGAGGAAAAATGTGTGGTTGGAGACCCCACACAGAGGCCCCATTGGGTCACTTGCCCAGTGGAGCTGTGAGAAGAGGACTACCATCCTCCAGACCCCAGAATGGTAGATTCACTGTCAGTTTGCACCATGAGCCTGGAAAAGCTGCAGGCACTCGATGACAACTCATGAGAGCAGCCACAGGGGCTGGCACCTGCAAAACCACAGGGACATGGCTGCCCCAGGCCTTGGGAGCCCATTCTTTGCATCAGTGTTCCCTGTATGTGAGACATGAAGTCCAAGGAGATTATTTTGGAGCTTTAAGATGTAATGACCACCCTGCTGGATTTCAAACTCATATGAGGCCTGTTGCTCCTTTCTTTTGGCCAATTTCTCCCTTTTGGAACACGAGTATTTACCCAATGCCTGTACCTCCATTTTATCATGGAAGAAACTAACTTGTTTCTGATTTTACAAGCCCATAGTCAGAAGGGACTTGCCTTGTCTCAGATGAAATTTGGTAATTTGGACTTTTAATTAATGCTGGCATGAGTTAAGACTTCGGGGGAATGTTGGGAAGGCATGATTGTATTTTGCAATATGAACAAAACATGAGATTTTGGAAGGGCCAGAGGTGAATGATATTGTTTTGATCTGTGTCTCTGTCGAAATCTCATGTCTAATTGTAATCCCCAGTGTTGGAAGTGGGGATTGTATAATGAGAGTAGAGTTCTCATAAATGGTTTAGCACCATCCCCCCTTGGTACTGTATATTCAGTGAGTTCTCATGACACCTGCTTCTTTAAAAGTGTGTGGCACCTCCCCACTCTCTCTCCTTCTCCTGCTCTGGCCATGTAAGACAAGCCTGATTCCTCTTCACTTTCCACCATAATTGTAAGTTTTCTGAGGCCTCCTCAGAAGCCAAACAGATGGCCAGCATCATGCTTCCTATACAGCCTATGAAATTGTTAGCCAATTAAACCTCTTTTTTAAATAAATTACCCAATCTCAGGTTTATTTTACAGCAATGCAAGAATGAACTAATAGAGCCTGACTAAAGGTTTGTCAGCTTCATTTACCTTTTGAAAATCCAACTTTCCATTTCATTGAGCTTTCTTATTGTTTTCTTCATTTCAATTTGATTATCTGCTGTGATCTTTATTATTTATTTGCTTCTACTAATTTTGAGTTTAGTTTCCTTTTGATTTCTAGTAGCTCTTTATGATGCATTAATATGTTATTTGAAATTTTTCTACTTTTTAGATGTAGGTGCTTATAACTATAAACTTTCATCTTAGTGCTATCACTGTATCATACAGGTTTTAGGATGTTATTTCCATTATTATTTGATTCAAGAAATTTTTTAAATTTTGTTTGTAATTTCTTCATTGACACACTGGTCATTCAGGAGTGTATTATTTAATTTTCAAATGTTTTCATAATTTCCAAAATCCTCTTTTGGCTGATTTCCAGTTTTATTCCATTGTGGTCAGAGAAGATACTTAATATAATTTTATTTTTTTTGAATATTTTAAGACTTGTTTTGTGGCCTAACTTATGGTCTATCCTTGAGAATGATCCATTTGCTGAGGACGAAAATGCATATTCTGTAGCCATTGGGTGAAATGTTCTGTAAATATCTATTAGTTCCATTTGGTCAATAGTGCAGATTAAGTCCAGTGATTCTTTATTGATTTTCTGTCTGGATAATAATCAGTGCTGAAGTAGGGTGTTGAAGTCTCTGGCTATTATTGTATTAGGGCCTATCTGTCTCTTTAGTTCTGATATCTGCTTTATCTATCTGGGTGTTCCAGTGTTGGGTGCATATATATTTAAAATTATTATATCCTGTTGCTAAATTGACCCCTTTTATCATTATATCATTGTCTTCTTTGTCTCTTTTCATAGTTTTTGTCCTGAAATGTATTTTGTCTGATATAAGTATAGCTATTATATTTATTGTAGTCTTCATTGTCTGGGATTGTTTATGCCTTCCTTTCTCGAAAAGGTTTTCCAGGTATTCAAAGTGACTTGGGTTTTGTGATCTAAGTTTTTGGTCACTGAAGCCATTTCTGCATTAGAGAAAGCCCAGAATTACCCCAAGCCCAGTAACACTCTGGATCTTGCAGACCCATAGAGGTATTGCCTTTGTGGTCGTGGATATAATCCAAACAATTTCTCTGAATTCCAGGTAGAAACTTTTGTTCTCTTCCCTTACTTTCTCCCCGCACAAAAAAAATAAAAAAAAAAATAAAAAAAAAAAATTGACTCTCTCCCCTTACTTTCTCCCCGCACAAAAAAAAAAAAAAAAAAAATTGACTCTCTCTGTCTGTGGTGAGCTTCCTGGAGCTGGTGGAGTTGTATCATAAGCACCCCTGTGACCACCACCACTGGGACTGTGCTGGGTCAGAACTGAAGCCAGCACAGCACAGGTTCTTGCCTAAGGTCTGCAGTAATCACTGCCTCACTACCACTTATGTTTGTTCAAGGCCTGAGGAAGCTACAATCACCAAGTGGCAAAGCTAGCCAGGCTTGTATCCTTTCCTTCAGGGTGACAAGTTCTTCCTGACACTGGGCAGGTCCAGAGATGCCATCTGGGAGCCAGAGCCTGCAGTCAGAAATCTTAGGACTCTACCTGGCATTCTACTCTACTGCAACTGAGCTGGCATCCAAGCCATAAGACAAATTCTTTCCCACTCTTCCCTCCACTTTCACAAGCAGAGGAGTCTCTCTCCATGACCACCAGTGCCCCTGAGCTATGGTGAGTATTCCTGGCTAACACCAATGTCCACTGAAGGCCATAGGGCTCTTCGTTAAGCTTATGGTGAATGTTGCCAGGCCTTGTACTCTCCTTTTAGGGAAGTGGGCTCCCTTCTGGTCCAAGGTGGCCCAGAAATGCCACTCAAGAGCTAAGTCCTGGAATCAGAGACCCCAAGAGTTCCCTTTTTGCTCTACCCCGCTGTTGCCAAGCTGATACCTAAGCTTCAAGACAAATTCCCCTTTACTCTTGCTCCTCTTTTCTCAAGCAGGCGTCTCTCCCCATAGCCATTACAGCTGAAAGTGTTCTGTGTCACATCTGAATCTGGCATGTCTCTTAGTCTCACTCAAGTACTACCATGAGTACTTCCTGGGTACTGCTGCTGATTATTCAGGGCCCAAAATCTCTTTAGTTAGTAAGCGATGATGCTGCCAGGGATGGGTAATTCCCTTCAAGGCAGCAGATTTCCTTCTGACCCAGTGTGTGTATAAAAATATTGCCAATAAACTAGGGCCTAGAATCGGGGCCTCAGGACTCTGCCTGGTGTCCTATCCTACTGTGATTAAGCTGATTTCTAAGTTGTAAGACAAAGCCCTTTTTACTCTCCTTTCTCTGTTCCTCAAGCAGAAGGCAAGAGTAACTCCTGGAGCTGCAAGCAGCACTGCCTTGGGTTGGGTTATGGGTGGTGCAAGAACTCCCTTGTCTGTCCCAGCTGGTGTCTCAATGGGTTATGTGCCCCACAAGACCACTGGCTCTGAGCCCAGCTTAGCACCTGGACTTTCCCAGGAATTGCAGACCTTGTGGCATAGACTGCCTGGCAAGTTTATTTAGGATCACAGCACACTTTAGCACATTGTGGCAAGGCTTCCTAGAAATCAATTCTGACCACTGAGTTGGGTGATTCCCTTTTGGCTAGGACTGGTCTAAATGCTCCTTCTGTGGGAAACAACTGAATTCTGCCTGGTACTACTGTTCTGACAGGGCAACTCTGAGTTTCAATGCCAAAATCCCACCATCATTGTGCTCTCCCTTCCCCAAGCACAAAGATTCTGTCTCCACAACAATCAACCACTGTCAGGGGGATGGGAAAGGATTGGTACTGGTAAGTCAAGACTCTCTTTCTTACTCTTTTAAGTGACTATATCAGTGATATGAAGTTAAAACCAGGTACTCGGACTACTCACCTGATTTCTGGTTCCTATGAAAGTGCTTTTTTCTGTGTGGGGGTGTTGTTCAATGTGGTATTCCCACAGGGACAATGATCAGTCAAGGATTCTACTTGCCATCTTGCTCCACATCTCCGCCAAGCAAAAAGTTTTGTATAAGATTTTCATAAGCTTACAAACAAGCAGGTGCTTATCTTTATAAAATTGAAAATTGTGGTTTTCTCAAAATGTTCTTAAGTTTAGAAATTTAAAGAGTTGAGTCACAGAAAACTAACAGAAAATACATAAGGACATAATTATTGAAGTAAATATTTGTGAGTAGAAATATCCCAAAATGCTAAAACAAAATTTACAGGAAAAAAATTAGTACTCACTATATCCTTAAACTGGGAAGAGTAGTAAAATATAACTTTAGAATAATACTTAATAATATTATTCTTACAAATCCTGTCTTGCATGTGGCAAATGCTTTTTTAGGTATACATTCAAAAAATGAACAAGTTAATAGTTATAGTTTATAAGAAAAAGGCACATTATACAATTACATAAACAAATTATGTTTAAAAATTTAAATACTGGCTTTAGTTCATGCTTTATCGAAAATCCATGGCTCCAACTCTACTGATGCAGTTTGTATTAACATAAATTAGACATGTTCATTGAACATGGACTCAGCTTAATGTCCAAATCATTACAGGTTCTTCATTATGTGGCTTTGACAACAATAAACAGATATTCATTAGGGCAATCATATTCATAATAAATCTACATTAAAATTGACAAATAGGAGCTATCAGGGCTCAATGAACTTTGTCTATAGTGTTTTTTACTATAAAATGATATCAGTTTTTATTGCTATTGGAGTCAAAAAGTAGAATTGGAAATCCAAGGATGTTCAAATTACTCTTCATTGTGATGAGCTATAAAGTGTCCACTGTTACGAGGCAACAAAGTGAGTAACTATTGTGAAAGGTACATTAGTTATGGAATCAAAATCTAGATTTTAGTACATTTCTGCCATTTATTATGCATCTGACCTTGGACAATTCACTACCAATTTTAGATTTCAGCTTCTTCATCTATAAAACAAAGAGTATACTCTTTAGTATAAAAATTGAGACAAATTTTAGAATTCATCTAATGGTAATATATTACTTTCTTTCATAAATATAGAAAAGTACTCAGCAGAAACTTTACCAGCCAGAAGAGATTGTGGTCCTATCTTTAGCCTTCTTAAACAGCATAACTGCCAACCGAGAATTTTGTATCCAGCAAAACTAATTTCATAAAAGAAGAAAAAATACATTGTTTTTCAGACAAGCGAATGCTGAGGAAATTAGTCACTACTATATCAGCCCTGCAAGAAATGTTAAAAGGAGTTTTAAAGCTTGAAACAGAAGGTTGATATGCACCAGAATAGAACCTCTTAAAAGCATGAAACTCACAGATCCTACAAAATAATAACAAAAGGAAGGGAACAAAGTACCTAGATAACAACCAACATGATGAGTGGAACAGTACCTCACATCTCAATATTAACATTGAATGTAAATGTTCTAAATGCTCCATTTAAAAGATACATATTTCCAGAATGGATAAAAAATTACAAACCAAACATTTTCTGTCTTCAGGAGACACACCTAACACATAACAATTATTTTAGATTCAAGGTAATGGCATGGAAAAAGAAAAAGATATTTCATGCAAATGGAAGCCAAAAGTCAGCAGGTGTAGCTATTCTTATATCAGATAAAACAGACTTTAAAGGAACAACAGTAAAAAAAGACAAATAAGGTCATTGTATAATGATAAAAGGATCAATTCAGCAAGAAGATATTACAATCCTAAATATACATGCACCTAACTCTGGAGATCCCAGACTCATAAAGCAATTGCTACTATACCTACATGAAGAGATAGACAGTAACACAATAATAGTGGGGGCCTTCAACACTTCACCAACCGCACTAGACAGATAATCAAGGCAGAAAATCTACAAGGAAACACTGGACTTAAATTGCAATCTAGAACAAATGGGCCTAACAGGTATTTACAGAACATTCTACTTATGAATTGCAGAATATACATTCTTCCCATCAGCACATGGAACATTCTCCAAGATAGACCATACTATAGGCTACAAAAGAAGTTTCAAGAATTTTTTAAAATCAAAATTATATCAACTATTTTCTCAGACCACAGTGGAATAAAACTAGAAATCAACTCCAAAAGGAATACTCAAAACTATACAAATACACAGAAATTAAACAATATGCTCTTGAATGATTTTTAGGTTAAAAATGAACTCAAAAATGGAAATTTAAAAATCTTTTGAAATGAATGATAGTAGTGGCACAAGTTATAAACACTTCTGGTATACAGCAGAAGCAGCGCTAAGAGAAAAGTGTATAGTGCTTAATGCCTACATCAAAAAGTCTGAAAGCTCACAAATTGACAACTTAGCACCATACCTCAAGAAATGAGAGAAACAAGAACAAACCAAACTCAAAGCTGGCAAATGAAAAGTAATAACAAACATTAAAGCAGAACTAAATGGAACCAAACCAAAAAAGTACAAAAGAACAATAAAGCAAAAATTTGGTTCTTTGAAAAGGTAAATAAAGTCAATATACCATTATGTAGATTAACCAAAAAAAAATAAAAAGAGAGAAGTTTCAAATTAGCACAATCAGAAAAAAATGGAGACATTACAACCAATACTACAGAAATACAAAAGATCATTCAAGTCTACCATGAACTCCTCTATGCATACAAATCAAAATTTTATAGGAAATGGATACATTCCTGGAAACATACAAGCCTCACAGCTTGAATCAGGAAGAAATAGAAATCCTGAACAGACCAATAACAAGCAGTGAGATTGAATCATTAATATAAACATTTCCAAAAATAAAAAGGCCAGAGCCAAATGGAACAACAGCCAAATTCTACCAGACATTCAAAGAAGAAATGGTACCAAATCTACTGAAACTATTTCCAAATATTGAGAAAGAGGGACTCCCCCCCAATTTATTCTATGAACCCAATATTACCCTGGTACCCAAGCCAGGAAAGGACATAACAACAACAACAATAAAACTACAGACCAATGTCCCTGATGAACATAGATACAAAAACCCTCAACAAAATACTAGGACATCAAAAAGATAATTCACCATAATCAAGTGGTTGTCATCTCAGGATGGGTCAACATACAAAAGTCGTTAAATGTGATTCATCACATTAACAGAATTAAAAACAAAAATAACATCATCATCTCAATTGAACCAGAAAAAGCATTCAATAAAATCCAACATCCCTTTCTGATAAAAACCCTCAAAAAACTAGGCATAGAAGAAACATACCTCAAAATAATAAAGCTGTATAAAACAAACCCATAGCTAACATCATACAAAATGAAGAAAAGTTGAAAGCATCCCTTCTAAGAGCTGGAATAAGACAAGAATGCCCACTTTCACTGCTTCTATTCAACATATGACTAGAAGTCCTAGTCAGAGAGATTTGTCAAGAGAAAGAAATAAAGTGTACCCAAATTGGAAAAGAGGAAGTCAAACTATCCCGGTTTGCTGATGATACAGTCATACATCTAGAAAATCCTGAAGACTCCCCCAAAAGACTACTAGATTAGATAAATGAATTCAGTAAAGTCTCAGGTGACAAAATCAATGTATAGAAATCAGTTATTACTGCTATTCACCACCAACAACCAACCTGAGAATAAAATCAACAACTCAATCCCTTCTACAATAGCTGCAAAAGAAATGATACCTACAAATACACATAACCAGGGAGGTAAAAAATCTCTGCAAGATCAGCTACAAAACACTACTGAAAGAAATCATAGATGACACAAAGAAATGGTAATGTATCCCACGCTCACGGACCACAAGAATCAATATCATGAAAATGACCATACTGCCAAAAGCAATGTACATATTTAATGCATTTCCTCTCAATATATCAACATCATTTTTCACAGAATTAGAAAAAATATCCTAAAATTCATATGGAACCAAAAAAAGAGCCCAAATAGCTGAATCATTCCTAAGCAAAAAGAACAAATGTGGAGGCATCACATTACCTGACTTCAAATTATACTACAAGGCTGTAGTAACCAAAACAGCATGGCACTGGCATCAAGGTATATACATAGACCAATGGAACAGAATAGAGAACCCAGAAAAAAGCCAAATGCTTAAAGCCAACTGATCTTTGACAAAGCATACAAAAACATAACCTGTGGAAAGGACATCCTGTTTAATAAATAGTGCTGGGAAAACAAGATAGCCACATGTAGAAGAATGAAATTGGATCCCTATCTCTCACCATCTAAAAAAGTCAACACCGTATGGATCAATGACTTAACTCTAAGACTCGAAACCACAAAAAGTCTAGCAGAGAACGTAGGAAAAACACTTTTGGGCACTGGTGTAGGCAAAGAATGTGTTACTAAGATCCCAAAACCAAATGCAACAAAAACAAAAATAAATGGGACCTAATTAAACTAAAAAACTTCTGCACAGCAAAATAAATAATCATCAGAGTAAACAGGCAACCCACAGAATGGTAGCAAATATTTTCAAACTGTACATCCAACAGAGAACTAATATCCATAACCTACAAGGAATTCAAACAAATCAGCAAGAAAAAAAATAACTTCATCAAAAAGTGGACAAATGGCATGAATAGATGCTTCTCAAAAGAAAATATACAAATGGCCAACAACCATATGAAAAAATACTCATCATCACTAATCATCAGGGAAATATGCAAATTAAAACCAAAATGACATAAAACCGTACTCCAGCCAGAATTACCATTAATAAAACTTCAAAAAATAATCAAGTTTGGCATGAATGTGGTGAAAAGGGAACAGTTATATACTGTTGGTGGGAATGTATATTAGCACAATCACTATGGAAAACAATATGCAGATTTCTCAAAGAACTAATAGTAGATCTACCATTCAATCCAGCATTCCCACTATTGGGTATCTACCCAAATGAAAAGAAGTTATATCAAAAGCCACCTGCACACATGTTTATCTCAGCATACTTCACATATGCAAAGATACGGAACCAATCTAAGTGTCCATCAACTGATTGGATAAAGATAATGTGGTATATATACATCATGGAATACTACTCAGTCATAAAAAAGAATAAAATCATGTCTTTTGCAGCAACCTGGATGGAGCTGGAACCCATCATTCTAAGTGGAATAATTCAGGAATGGAAAATCAAATATTGTATGTTCTCATTTATAATGGGGAGCTAAGCCATGGATACACCAAGACATACAGAGTGGTATAATGGACACTGGAGACTCAGAGTGGAGAGGGAGGGGGTGATGGATAAAAAAACTACATATTGGGTACAATGTACACTACTCAGGTGACAGGTGCACTACAGTCTCTGACTTCACCACTGTAAATTTCATCCATGTAACCAAAAACCACTCATACTCAAAAGCTGTTGAAATTATATATATATATATAAAATACATATAAGAAAAAGTAAAAAAAAATTTACTATTCACATAGAGAGAGAGGAAAAGAGAGACAAACAAAGAGAAAGAGAGAGAGAGAAAGAAAGAATAAAATATATTTATCTTAATTGAGGACACACTTTGGCAGTACTCAAATACACTGAATTCCAGAAATCCTAGAAACAAAATGCAAAGCAGTAGATGGTGTGTACTATGCGACCAGCACTCCCCAACCTGGACTTCCTAAGGCATTGCACAATATTCCAGAACTGACTCCAATTAGGTCAGGAGCTAAATGTGGTGAAATAAATTGAACAGATCAGCTACATCTGGGTAACCAGACTTATTGCATTTGGCTTTGTGGTTATTAAGAACCACACACCAGCTCTTATTTTCTTCCCAGTGAGATGATTAATGGAGCAAAGTTGTCTATGTTTTGCACTAGTGCTGTGTGCATTATTGCAAGTCTACCTTCAAAACTCACAAAACGTCCAAAGTGATAAATCATGTGGTGACCTTCACAAGAGTAAATTACTGACGGTTAGTTATACTTCGACTTATTTGGTTAATGTGAACATCCAATTTAATAAAATATTTATTTCACATGCAAGGAAATACAAACTAAGCTACAAAGGCATAAAATTACTGTAACAAGGAGAGATTTTAAATTTGAATCCCTAGGCTGGTAAAATGCTTTTAATTATAGTTTTGGTAAAACCTGAAATATTCTTTCACTTATTAATAATAAACACTTACCTCGGATCTGCTCTGTGGAAGGCAGTGTTCTAAGTGGTCTATCCACATGAACTTATTAAATCTTCATTTACAAAATTCTTATGATGACATTTCCTGCTGTGATCAACAACATCTCAACTCCATCTCTGTCACTGTGAATAAATTCCAAATTTTCCTATGTCTTTTAAGCACTCTCAAATTTCTAAGTCACATCAGGAGCAAATGATTGGCTGAGCCTAAGTTATGTTTCTAAAGCATAGCTCCAGGGAGTAAGAGGAAGGATTATGCTCTCTCCACTCACTAACACCAACATAACAAAGGTTTTCTCTGAACAGGAAGGTAGTTCAGAACTTAACTGGCCAAAATATGACAAGTACCCATTATAGCCCATTCTTTTGATTACTCAATAGTTACGTGCTCCCTTCCTTTTATAACATAATATTTTCAAGTTTCAGACAGTTGAAAATATGTTCCTACTCTTACAAAAGGGAAACAACACCAAGTCCAATTGCATATTATCACTGGTTTAAAATACAGGATCTCTAGGTGATAACTAGTTCTCTATTTCTGTCATAGCCTTAAATTCTACAACTTTTGGACTAAATTAAGAATACACGTATGATAAGGAAATCCTATTTACTTGTAGAAAAATAGAGTGGATCATCTATAGGGTAAATATGGTGTATTTATGGGCAAAACTATCTTTTTTTTTAACGATATGACCCTACCTATGTTTTAAAATGTGTTTAATTGTATACAAAATTATAGAAGGAAATACAAGAACCCAGTACAGTTTTTAACTTTATAAATGAGAATTGTGAGTGAGCCCTGGGGACTAGGGTGGCAAAAGTTTATTTTTCCTAACCATGTTTGAAGTATTTGCTCATGTTTCAAAGGTTTATTAATCATATCATATGCCATTTTCCATTCTGTAAACCTGAAATATGGAATTCCAAACTTGAAAGTAGAGGTAGTAAGATTAGATTTGCCATCCAGAGGTGACATTGGTACCGGTAGCAATAATAGAAGATTGTGGTAAGTTGATTTCTTGACATTTACTTTTGAGAGGAAGCCCCAGAAATCATTTTCCTATGAAGTAAGTTTTGCAGCATAATTTTAGATATTTATCTACAAGTTTAGCCTCAAATTTTGTTTTCTTTTTCCTCTAATCTTCCTAATAATCATGTTAGATATCCAGTATTCTTTGATGAACTCCCTTTTTTTAAAAAACTGGCCAGCAAATTACCAGTTTTTTGCAACTTCCAAAATTACCTAAAGGATATTGATCCTGTAAAGTCATTGCAGGTATTAGACATTCAATGGTAGGAATCTAGGATTGTTAATCTGATATGGATGGATCTGAATACTGTGGAGTAGCTACAATTGAAGAATAGGATGACAACAGTCCCTGACCTACAGTGGCAAAACAGTGCATTATTATCTGTGAACTCCTGTGCCTATGAAGTATAAATCTTGAATCAATAGCTGCTATGATTGAATAAAATTTTTATCCTGAAATTCTAGGACTCTGGTGCTGGCTTCCTTTTTTTATAATGGAGTATGGGGCCTAAAGAATGAAAATGATAAGATTGAAGCCCTTATCCAAGACCATTCAATATTAAGCTCTATCAATTGCAGCAGAACTGAAAAGGCAAAATGAGTTGAACAATTGACTATTAATAATATTTACAAACACACCAGCTGAACTTGGGAAATTGGGAAAAAGGATAAACTGAGAATTAGAATATTTATAAGATTAGATTAGATCAAACCAACGACTATCAACCACTAAATTCTACTGAGCTCTTGCCAGCAGAAAGAAGTAACAACTGCTTTCCTGGCTGATGGGTCATCCTTACTTTGTTTGAAGTTTCTGTAATGACCAAGCCTAAAGCATTTACTCTGCAAAAGCAAGAAAATTGTGTCCCAGTTTGCCACCCCGCTTTATTTTCACATGTATAACTAGAATCTAATCCCAGCCTTTTCCTGGAGTAAAGTTCAAATTAAAACTTAGAGGAAAAAATATCTACACAAAAATTGTGCATATTATTGGCAATTTGTTTTAGCAAAAGCATGGAAATGGATGTAAAAAAAAGAATCTGTGGATGTTAGACTAATAAGCAAGGAATATAATCTTAGACTAGGTTGAATTTATCAATGCAGGTAAAATTACCAGTGTTTCTGAAATCAATGTGCTAACTTGAACACCTAACAGTCAATGGTTTGATTGACTGAAAACCTGACTTAATATAACTGGCATGTCCTGACCTCAATGGAGATGCTTGAAATTCCTTTAAAAAATGTAGGAGAGTAGTGTACAACTGTATTCCTAGCTACATGGGAGGCTGAGGCAGCAGGATCCCTTGAGCCCAGGAGATCAAGGCTGCAATGAACTGTGACTGTGGCACTACCACTCCAGCTCCAGCCTGGGCAAGACCACTACCCTGTCAAAAATAAATAAATAAATAAAAGGAGCCAAAAAAAAACCCCAAAACTTAGAAGATACAAAAATTGCAAGAAGTGCATCTTGTGGGACTCATTCACAGACATCCAAAAGCTAACAGACTGGTAAGCCCGGAATACCCTCATCACAGGATGCAGGAGCACACTACACAAAGCAGTGCAAGTATCTTTGAAACAGTTTTGATGGTTGTTATCTGTAATCCCACAATGCAGGTGTATGAAATGACCATCTAATAGGTCTGTAATTATATCAAAGTATGGTTTTAACTTGCATTTGCCAAATGACTAATTATGTAACGTATCTTTCAACGTGTTTATTTGTCCCCTGTATGTCTTCCTTGGTGGGATGCTTTGCCCATTTTGAAAATTGCTTTGTTTTCATACTATTGAATTTTGAGATTTCTGAGTATGAGTACTTTACTGCTGTGATTTGCAAAAATGCTGTCAGAGCCCGTGTCTTACCTTTTCATTCTCGATATGTCTCAGAGTAGAAGTTTGTGATTTTTATGAAGCTTCATGTATTTTTTATTTAATAGATGTCCTTTTGTTGACACATCTGACACCTTTCATTAAATGAAAGTTACAAAAAATATCTCTATTCTTGTTTCTAGAAGTTTTATAATTTTAGATGATACACTTAATTCTATGACTCATTTTGATACACCTTTTATGTAGTGTGAAGTAAAGATCTAAGTTTATTTTTTTGCATATGCTTATCCAATTATTTCATATTATTCTTTAAATATACTGTCATTTCTCCACTAAAGGAGCTTTGAACTTTTGTTGAAAATCAGTTGTCGTGTATGCATATGTCTAGCCCTAGACTCTCCATTTCATTAATATATTTATCTATCTCTTGATTAATTCAGCCTTATAATAAATTTTGGAATCAGGAGTAGTCATTTTCCAACCATCTTCTTATTTTTAAAATTTATTTTGGTAATTCCACTTCCTTGTATGTTAAATGTACAAATTAATTTTAAAGTAGAATTTTGATTGAAATCACACTGAATCTATAAATCCATTTGGGGAGAATTAACACTATAACAATACTGAGTTTTTCAATTCATAAACGCAATGTATCTCTCCATTTAGGTTATCTTTTATTTCTGTTTTCAGTGTTTTGTAGATTTCATGGTATATGTCTCATATATTTTTTGTCATTTTTGTCTCAAATTTATCACATTTTTATGCTATTCTAAATGGTATTTTTAATTTAATTTCCTGAATAGGTCATTGTTAGTATACAGATAAATATTAAATTTTATATTGCTTTTACATGTGGCAAATGTATTAATTCACATATTAGTTCTAGTATCTTTTTCCATAGCTTCCATAGAATTTTTTATATAGATGATCAAATTATCTTAAATAATAGTTATATTTCATTTTTTCCAATCTAAGCAACTGATATTTCTTTGTCTTACTTCATGGAATGGCTAGTACAGTGTTTAACAGAAGTAGTGAAAGAAGAAATCCTGACATTCCTTTGATAATAAGGGAAAAATACTCAGTCATTCACTAGTAAGGATGGTGTTGGCTAGCAGTAGGTTTCTCAAAGATGCCCCTTTATCAAGTTGAGAATTATTCTCTTCTATTCACACTTTTGTTGAGAGTTTTACGTTAGGAATTTGTATTTGATATGGTCAAATGCTTTTTCTCTGTCTCTCAGAAAATCATGTGGTGTCACTTTATTTCATTTGTTCATATTGTGGTTATTATTACTTGATATTTTAATGCTAAAGTGTTCATGCATTCCTGAGATAAACTTTACTTGGTCATGATGTACTACCCTTTTTTTTTTTTTTTTTTTTTTTTTGAGATGGAGTTTTGCTCTTGTTGCCCAGGCTTGGAGTGCAGTGGTGCAATCTCGGCTCACTGCAACCTCCGCCTCCTGGGTCCAAGTGATTCTCCTGCCTCAGCCTCCCAAGTAGCTGGGATTACAAGCACCCACAACCACACCCAGCTAATTTTTGTATTTTTAATAGAGATGGGGTTTTGCCATGTTGGCCAGGCTTGTCTCGAACTCCTGACCTCAGGTGATCCACCTGCCTTGGCCTCCAAAAGCGTTGGGATTACAGGCAGGAGCCACCGCGCCCAGTCCCTTTTTAATATATTTATACATTTTATTTGTACAATTTTATGTTTAAAAAGAATATTTGTCTGCAGTTTCTATTCTTGTAATGTCTTTGGTTTTAAGAGAGGACATTGCTGAACTCATAGAATGAGTTCGGATGTATACTTTCCTAAACAATTTCCTGAAAAAGTTTGTATAGAAATGGTGTTACATCTTTCTAAGTTTTTCTTGTAATGAAGTCATTCAGAGTTTTCTTATATATATGTTTTAACTGCAAATTCAAATAGCTCTATACCCAAATAGGTATACGGCTATTTGGTTTAGTTTCATCATTTTTCTGTATCTTTAAATCATCTTCCATTTTATTGATTTTCACTTTAATATTCATTATTTTCTTCTTCTTACATTAGGTATCATTTGTTTTTGTATTCTAGATTCCTAAGGTGGAAGCTGTGGTCATTCATTCGAGACACTTATGTAGACATAAAAACAGGCCTTTAGTGCTACAAATTTCCCTCTAATACCAAGTAAGCAATATTCCACAAATTTTCATATGCTGGGATTTTTTAAAATATTCTATTTGGTTTAAAATATATTTGACAAACGGGTTACTTATAAGTGTGTTATATAGTTTTCAAGTACCAGGGATTTTCCAGACATCTGTTAATACATTTCAACTTAATTTTGGTCAGAAAAACTTTATCTGACTTGAATCTTTTTAAATTTATTGAGATTTCTTTTAAGGCCCATATTATATTATATTCCATGATGACTTAAAAAGAAGGTGTATTATCTTGTTCTTTGATAGAGTATTCTATTAATGTCAATTAAGTTAATGTATTTAATACTACTGCTCAAGTCCTATATATAGCTACTGATTTTCCAGGTAATTTTTTGAGATCTCAATTTAATTGAGATAAGTGTGTTAATATCCCTGATTATAATGGTCAATTTTTGTTTTTGTCCTTGAAATTCTATCAATTATGGTTTCATGTATTTTGAGGTTCCATTACAAGTTGCATAAACATTTAGGTTTGCCATGACCTCTTAAGTGATCCCTTTATCATTATAAAGTTACCTTCTTTAATGTTTAGTAATATTCTTTGTTCTGAAATATTCTTTGTCAGATATTAATGCAGCCTCTCCACCTTTTTTCAAATTAATGTTATCATGATATATAATTTTCTATCATTTCACTATTTACATATGTGTGCCTTATTTAAAGATTTCTTGTAGGCATCTATAGTTGAGTCTTGCATTTTATCTATTTCGGCATTATCTGACATTTTTGTTCCATTTACATTTAATGTGATGATTCTATATCTAAAATTTTTCTATTTATTTTCCATTTGTTCTACCTGTTCTTTGCTCCTCTCTCCCTCTTTTTCAGCCTTTTTGCCCCCTTTTTCTACCTTTTTTAATTTAATATTTTTTGTGGTTTTATTTTACTTTATTTATTTCCTTTGTTTGCTATAAGTTTGTCATGTTTCTTTAGTGGTCCTTTTAGAGTTTATATACCTTAAATTTCATAACCTGACTTCATGCACTATTATTTCATCCCACATATAAGTAACTTAAAACAATATACTTCCTTTTTTCCCTCCCAGTCTTTGTACAGTTCCTGTCAGATATTTTACTTCTATATTTTTATAATCCCCACAATACATTATTATGCTTGAATAAGTCATCAATTGTTTTTTACATTAACTTAAATAAAAAGAAAATTTCTCATCTTATGGAGAAACTTTAAAATTTCTTGTTATTCAGGCCTGCTGGTGACAAATTATTTCAACTTTTTTTTAACTTTTATTGTCAAAGATATTTTGGCTGGGTATATAATTCTAGGTAGAAAGTTTTTTTCTTTCAATTACTTAAATATGTTGCTCAGTTGTTTTACTGCTTGCATTGTTTCCACAAAAAACCTGCTATCATGCTTTCCTTTGTTCTAGACATAATGTGTTTTTTTTCCTCTGGTTTGAACCAATTTGATTATGATGTAGCTTGGTGTGTGTGTCTGTATCTCTGTGTGTGTGTGTGTGTGTATACACACACATACACCAAGATACATTATACATGTGTATATATATAATATATAAAATTTATAAATATTTGAAGTATGTATAAAATTTTGTTTGTGCTTTATATACATATAATGTATGTATAAAATTTTGTTTTGTTAACATTTTTGCAGTCATGATTTATAGTGTTCAGAAAATTTGGAAATTCTCATATTATATCTTCAAATATTTTTTCTAACACTTCCCTTCACCTACCTGACAACCTTCATGCCTCCAGTTACAATTGTTAATTAGGTTGTTTGAAGTTGTCCCAAGGCTTGTTGATGCTGTGTTTATTTTTTTAAGTAAGTATTTTCCCTATGTGTTTTTTAAGTAATTTCTGTTGCTATGTCTTAAGTTCACGGTTTTTTCTACAATATGTAATCTGCTACAATATGTAATATCCAGTGCTTTTTTCCTCTCAGACATCGTAGTTTTCAACTCTAGACGTTTGACTATATTTTTATATCTTTTTTGTCATTATTTAACATATTCAGCTTTTTATCTAGCTTTATGAGCATATGAAATAAGGTTGTAGTAACTGTTTTAGTGTCCTTTTATGCCAATTCTAACATCTGTATCGGCATCAACTGATTTAATTTTCTCCCCATTAGGGATTGTATTTTCTTGCCTATTTGCATATCTGATAATTTTTCATTGGACAACAGACACTGTGAATTTTACCTTGTTGAGTGCTGGGTGCTGGATATTTCTGTAGTCTTATATTCTCAACCTTTGTTATGGGACACATCTATGCCACTGAGAAGTAATCTGATACTTTTTTTTTTTTGAGACGGAGTCTCACTCTGTCACCCAGGCTGGAGTGCAGTGGTGTGATCTCGGCTCACTGCAAGCTCCGCCTCCCAGGTTCACACCATCCTCCTGCCTCAGCCTCCCGAGCAGCTGGGACTACAGGTGCCCACCACCACGTCTGGCTAATTTTTTTGTGGTTTTAGTAGAGACAGGGTTTCACTGTGTTAGCCAGGATGATCTCGATATCCTGACCTCATGATCTGCCCGCCTTGACCTCCAAAAGTGCTGGGATTATAGGCGTGAGCCACCACACCCGGCCTCAAGTTATTTTTTATTCTAATCCTTTCGGGTAATTCATACCCAAGCCTCAACTAGTTTTCATACACTTGCATTGATCAGTACTCAGATGAACACTTGAAGGGTCTTTCTACAGATCTCTAGAGTTGTCTCCCTTTGCAACTCTCATCTCCAACACTGTCTTGTGAAATCTAGAAGTCGTGTTCTTCCTGGATGACTAGCAAAGTCTCCTCAACACGGAAAGTATGACAAGCTCTACCTAGGTTTCATCTTCTTGCTCTGTTACCTGGAAATTCTCTCAAATCAGTCAACTTAGGCAATCGCAGAGCTTGCCTCATTTGTTTCCTCTCTCTCAAGGATTGTACTCTATTGTCTCATATCAAATATATTAAGAAGCATCTTTTTATTTTATTTTGTCCAGTTATTTATTTTTCTTATGTAGAAAATATCCAGTATTTGTTACACATTTGCTATATGTGTTGGCCATATTGGTCAGAAACAATCTGTCTAAAATATTTTAAGTACTGACACAATTCTCATGTTGCCTTTTCCATTCAGGGAGTCAAAGCAATTTAGATATAAGGAACCACTGACAATTCACAGCTTTTTAAAATAGTAAACTAAGAGCAATTATTATATTCCTGAAGGAATCAATAATGTTATCATTAAATTTTTACATCTTCAAGGATTGGGATTCCTATTACATTCTCATTTAAATTGCTTATTGGCTGGTATAGATTATGGTTATTCTCAGTATACATCAGAGAGTTATTATAATTAGCTGTTGACTCCTATTATAAATCAACACAGGGCTAAGGATCTATTATGCATGTAGGGATCAAACACTACATCAATAATATCATGATGAAAGGGCCTGGTGAATCAGAATAGCCAGTTAACATGAATGAGTTTTATAAATTACATTTCTGAACAAAGAAATAAATCCTGGAGCCTGATATCTCTGTACAGTTGTTAGCGAACAATAGTTCAGACTTGTAGGTTAGTTACTTCAAGGTGAAAAAAGCTAGTGGCATTTGAATTTTTTCCTACATATATCTCTTTGGATTTGGAAGGTCACTTATCCCACTTTGGTGTACACTGTTTATAACAGGCCCATTTATGAAATTGACCCTAAAAAATCTGCCAACTTTCTGCAAGATCCAGAGCAAAACGAGGCTCTCCTGCTAGTCCAGGCTGCAGTGTTGTGCCACTTGGACCTTTCAAAGTCTGATAGCTCTTCTGTACATGTAAAAAGGATGCATTTCCATTTCTACTTGTATTTTGAAAAAGAAATTATGTAATCAAATAATTAAAGGAATAATTATTTTTTAAAAATGGCTCAGGAAAAGTTCAACAGTAGCAACAGAAAAAACATTAGCCCACAAAAAATCAAAGGTGGGAGTTCAACTAGGAAAATTAAAAAATAGAGGAACAGTGGATTTTTCTGGATGCACATTTGAATCTAAGTCATGCTTCAAATCCAAACTCCATCTGTTTCTTAGATTTCTGGAACAAACTCCTACTCATTCAGACCCACCCATCCTCCACAGACAATTCCTTTTCCCCAGACATTCTTACCTCCCACATTTAGAACAGCATCACATACCAGTTGGAATTTGTAGTGTTTTCATTGTGCACATCACTAAAACATTTGCCTCTTAGGCAAAAGGAGAATCACTTTTCTTTTTGCCAAATTATGTACTTCTGTTTCTCATCCTGAAGAACATAAAATCCAGGAAAGGAAACTTGACAACACTTACATCATCTCTAGGTGGCATATCCAAAATGTGTATCTGTGGACTCTAAGGGAAGAATAATACAAAAAATTCCAATTATACATTTTTAATGGTAGTCAAGAAATTAAAAGGTTTAACATAAAGTCCAATGACTTTTTAATGATATAGTACTAGAACTATTTGAGAAGGAAAAGTTTCTCTTGTCTTAAAGAGGTGCTCTTTGGAACAACAGATTTTTTAAAATATGAAAAAGGCATGCTTAGTAAGTATATAATAAGATCTAACTCCTCAAGGATAAACAAACATAAAACCTTATCATGAGTGTTCTATAGTATTTTTTAAATTTTAAGTATCAGTACTATTCTTCAAACTATAGTCATCACTCCACCAGCTGTCATATTAAAAATGTTCTAATTCTTAACTTCAAATTATAATGTCTTTTAACACAGCATGGTGAGATCTTGGTGTCATAAGTATTGTTTTTAATATTAATAGTTAATATTGCATGATCAAAATAAAAGAAAACCTAGTATCTTTTTATTCACAATAAAATTTTTAATAAAGTAGGCGTATATTCACTATTCTGAAAATGCAGTTAAATGAATATTTATCAAATATCACTATCAGTTTACTTTTCTACTAAGTATCTTGAAAAGCGAACATATTTGCAGATACCTCGAATTCCTTTGTACAGAGACTGAAATGACTAGTATATATATTTTTTTTCAAATTGAGCTTTCTACTCCTGTTTATTTATTTTTCCCAAAGCATATAATTCTAGTAAAGTTGTCTTTGAAAATTGAGCAGACATTAGTTCGAGATCTAGCATCCCTTTTTTAAGTTTTGTTATTAAAGCCACTTGCATAACTGGCTCTGCATATGGCAATGGAAGTAATGCAGTACTACTTCATAGAGTACATAAAATGCTTGGCTTTACACCTAGTTCATAATAACCAATCAATTAAAAATTCTAAGATTATGCTCCTCTCTTCCTTTTCTTCTCTATCATCACCTTATCTTCTTCCTCCCTCTTTCTCTACTTCTTTTGTAGTTGTCATCATCATCATCATCGTTATCCTCAACATTGTCATCCTCATCCTATCATTTCTTATGTCTTCAGGAATATTATAAAAATAAATGACAATGGGCCGGGTGCCGTGGCTCACGCCTGTAATCCCAGCACTTTGGGAGGTCGAGGTGGGTGGATCATGAGGTCAGGAGATGGAGACCATCCTGGCTAACACGGTGAAACCCCGTCTCTACTAAAAATACAAAAAATTAGCCCGGCATGGTGGCGGGCGCCTGTAGTCCCAGCTACTTGGGAGGCTGAGGCAGGAGAATGGCGTGAGTCCCGGGAGGCGGAGCTTGCAGTGAGCCGAGATTGCGCCACTGCACTCCAGCCTGGGTGACAGAGCGAGACTCCGTCTCAAAAAATAAATAAATAAATAAAAATAAAAAATAAATGACAATGATAGATGCATCTACCTATACTTTTAAAACATTGCATATATAGGTTATGACAATTAGTAATCCTCTCAGAATTATGCATGAGAGGAAACAAGAACCATTTCAGGATGCTTGGGATTTCTGAAGGACAAAAGGGGACAGGTAGAAAGGCAATTGCTCCTTAGAAAACCCTAAGGTTTCTTTAGTGATATAAAATGAAGCACACTCAATTGATAGTGGGCTCTGTTCAGAAACTGTTTTGTAAGGAATATTCTTAACTGGTTTTCTATATCAGGGTATCTCTGCATGACTAATATGCTAGAGAAGTCCACTTAAGTTAGATAACTCTTTTTAATAATGACCTGTTGGGGTCCTTTATAACTTATAGGAAGGTTAAGTTAATCAAGCATGAGTAAACCATTACAGAACCAGTGTAAATATGCAGAAACTGTAAATGATATATGAGAATTCTACACCATAATCCTATTGTTTACTAACATCTCACTAACAGACTGGTGAAAAGATGAAGTGGATAACCAGAAATAGCCAAGATAATATATTTTATTTGGACAAATCCAGATTCCTATTTGCGATTTTGTGGATCTCCTGCATGACCAACTGTGACCTCTGAGGTTCTTTAAGTGTATTGTTAGCACAAAGTAAACACTGCATAAGTGATGGTGCTTATTATTGTTACAGAATTCTGTATTTATTGCTG
The DNA here is from genome assembly GCF_000001405.40 of Homo sapiens. NCBI lineage: Eukaryota > Metazoa > Chordata > Mammalia > Primates > Hominidae > Homo > Homo sapiens. The sequence goes on along the minus strand of NC_000013.11, from coordinate 80,812,430 downwards.
ATATACTTTTATTTTTCTGCAGCTGATAAAAATTCATTTTACATATGGAAATGCAATTATTTTTGGTAATTATTCAAACCTGAGTCCATCAGTATACTAGAAACCCAGCATACACAAGTACTTTCATGCAAAATGTTTTTGGTACAGGCTGACTGCAACTGACTTCTAGGAAATGTTTCTATAATTGTGATGAGAATTGTTTTTTACTCTCATGGTTTTGACAAAAATAAGATTATATTCCAGAATATATATTTGGTTAGTGGGTTCCCAAATTTGGCTGTGCACCAAAATAGCTGGCACAGTATTTTAAAATACAAATATCTTTATCTCAACTTCAGAGATTTTTATCTTCTACATCTGAGGTAAGGTCCATATTCAGAGAATTTTAAAAAATCTCTTCAGGTATCTTTACTGCATAATATGAGCCAAGTGTGAAAAACACTGGTTGAAAAGACAATTATCTTTTATGAATAGGTCTTTTCATACATGATTGCTTTTCATGCCCCACATTTATGTTGTCTATTCATGTCCTGTCTTCATTTGCTTGGGCTGCTATTACAAAATGACATAAACTGGTCAGCTTATAAACAACAGAAATGTATTTCTCATAGTTCTAAAGGCTGGCAAGTCTGAGACCAAGGGGCTGGCAGATTATATGTCTGATGGAAGCCCATTTCCTGGTTCATAGATAGTGCCTTTTAGCTTCATCCTCGGATATTGGAAGAGGCAGCACAGCTCTCTGGGACTTCTTTTGCAAGGGCACTAATCCCATTCATGGGTTCTACCTTCATGACTTAATCACCTCCACGGGGTCCCACCTCCTATTACCATCACTTGGTGATTAAGCTTCAATATATGAATTCTGGGAGCACACAAACTTTCAGGCTCATAGCAATCCTGTATTCCAAAAATTATCTGTTTGTCCTTTGAATGTATTTGACTAGTTGACATATTTGTGCTTAAGAATTGTGGATTATATGTGAAATCTGACTTCTTAACAGGGATATATTTCTACCTTAATAACAAGGGGTTTTCTGGGGAGTGTTTCCCCTAGAAAAGGTGCAAATAGCATAGGTTGTTCTTTCTCAGATGTATTGGAAATATTTACATACTCCATAAATAAGTGAACACAGAAATGGCCTAACTTCATCCCAAGAAATTATTTTGCTCTAAGCTAGACAAAGCTACTAAAGTGATCAACAACTCTGAGTATGAAAAAAAATAAAATCATATTGTTCACAACAGCAAGAATAAAAATGTTTTGTTTGATTTACGCAGAATGACAAATAAACATCAAACATTGGTGTTTAGTAAACATTAAATACAGTGCATAAAGATGCAGTACATCCCTTTATTTAGTTTTCTGCTTAGGGCTTCAGTGTTTTGAAAGGGCTGGGTTATCAATCTGACCTAGTCAGAGAATACTATAAACACCTCTCCACAAATAAAGTAGAAAATCTAGAAGAAATGAATAAATTCCTGGACACATACACCCTCCCAAGCCTAAACCAGGAAGAAGTCGAATCCCTGAATAGACCAATAACAAGTTCTGAAATTGAGGCAGTAATTAATAGCCTACCAAGCAAAAAAAGCCCAGAACCAGACAGATTCACAGCCAAATTCTAGCAGAATTTGGCTACCAGAGGTACAAAGAGGAGCTGGTACCATTCCTTCTAAAACTATTCCAAACAATAGAAAAAGAGGGACTCCTCCCTAACTCATTGTATGAGGCCAGCATCATCCTGATACCTAAACCTGGCAGAGATACAACAACAACAACAAAATTTCAGGCCTATTGGCCTGAAATCAACGAACATCGATGCAAAAATCCTCAAAAAAATACTGGCAAACCGAATCCAGCAGCACATTAAAAAGCTTATCCACTATGATCAAGTCTGTTTCATCCCTGGAATGCAAGGCTGGTTCAACATATGCAAATCAATAAACGTAATCCATTACATAGACAGAACCAATGACAGATACCACATGATTATCTTAATAGATGCAGAAAAGGCCTTTGATAAAATTCAACACCCCTTCATGACAAGAACTCTCAAAAAACTAGGTACTGATGGAACTTATCTCAAAATATTAAGAGCTATTTATGACAAACCCCAGCCAATATCATACAGAATGGGCAAAAGCTGAAAGCACTCCCTTCGAAAACCAGCATAAGATAAGGATGCCCTCTCTTACCATTCCTATTCAACATAGTATTGGAAGTTCTAGCCAGGACAATTAGGTAAGAGAAAGAAATAAAAGGTATTCAAATAGGAAGATAGGAAGTCAAATTATTGCTGTTTGCAGATGACATGATTGTATATTTAGAAAACCCCATAGTCTCAACCCAAAATCTCTTTAAGCTGATAAGCAACTTCAGCAAGTCTCAGGATAAAAAATCAATGTGCAAAAAATCACAAGCATTTCTATACACCAATAATAGACAAACAGAAAGCCAAATCGTGAGTGAACTCCCATTCACAATTGCTTCAAAGAGAATAAAATACCTAGGAATCCAACTTACAAGGGATGTGAAGGACCTCTTCAAGGAGAACTACAAACCGCTGCTCAAAGAAATAAGAGAGGACACAAACAAATGGCAAAACATTCCATGCTCATGGATAGGAGGAATCAATATTGTGAAAATGGCCATACTGCCCGAAGTAATTTATAGATTCAATGCTATTCCCATCAAGTTACCATTGACTTTCTTCACAGAATTAGAAAAAACTACTTCAAATTTCATACGGAACCAAAAAAGAGCCCGTATACCCAAGAAAGTCCTAAGCAAAAAGAACAAAGCTGGAGGCATCATGCTACCTGACTTCAAACTATACTACAAGTCTACAGTAACCAAAACAGAATTGTACTGGTACCAAAACAGATATATAGACCAATGGAACAGAACAGAGGCCTCAGAAATAACACCACACATCTACAGCCATCTGATCTTTGACGAACCTGATGAAAACAAGCAATAGGGAAAGGATTCCCTATTTAATAAATGGCGTTGGAAAAACTGGCTAGCCATATGCAGAAAACTGAAACTGGGCCTCTTCCTTACACTTTATACAAAAATTAACTCAGGAGGTGGAGGCAGGAGAATTGCTTGAACCCTAGAGGCTGAGGTTGCAGTGAGTTGAGATCACGCCACTGCACTCCAGCCTGGGTGACGGAGCGAGACTTAGTCATTCAACCAAACACCATATGTTCTCACTCATAGGTGGGAGTTGAACAAGGAGAACACATGGACACAGGGAGGGGAACATCACACTCTGGGGCCTGTCGGGGGGTGGGGGGCAAGAGGAGGGATAGCATTAGGAGAAATACTTAATGTAGTTGTCGGGTTGATGGGTGCAGCAAACCACCATGGCACAGATATACCTATGTAACAAACCTGCATGTTCTACACATGTATCCCAGAACTTAAAGTATCATAAATAAAAAATAAAATGAAAGAACAAATTTCTCACAAAAAAAAAATTTGCTGAATTAAGAGACCAATTTTGGATGTATATGTTACTAGTAAATGGAAGGCCAAAAGACCCAAATTATTCAATGAATGCCTGGACAACACTTTCACACTTCTGTTTTATTTCTTCTTTTAATAAAGAAGATTACAATTATGAGGATCAGAATACTACAAAGCTTTCTGAAATCATGGAAATATTATTATCCCCAGCTTAGAGATGAAAAGTCCCAGAATAAGGAGATAAAAAGAATACTAAAACAAAAGTGTCCAAACTTTTAAAGAGCATGGTAATGTCAGTAGGTATCAAATGAAACTAGTACGGCAACCTTACATCTTGATAAAACTGAATGTTACATTTTTAACTGATTTACCTTAAAAAATTATTGTGAAAGTAAATAAAAAGCATATTCCACATGCAGTCATTATCTTTTGGTTTCTGGAACAGGAACTTCCCAGCAGTAAATTTTATGATGAAGATTACATTTAGATGAAAGTGTTTTCCTTATTTAATAATGTCCATACATTGCATCATTGGAAATAGCAAAATAACAGAAGCTTGGCTCAAGATAAAAACATAAACATATAAAGTGCTTTGTATAACATATATTAAAATAATTTTCAATAAGCCATTTATATGCAACCAGGTTCCCTTGTCTTAAATGACAGAAGAAAGTAAGTTGACGGGCTCACAGAAAGTTCTGAACTTTAGTCCGAAGAGTTTTAAAATAAGTGCACATGGAGATAGGCAGCTGTAAAAGCTTCTGTGCAAAAAGTGACTTAAATTTTATATAGTCACATTTAGTTGTTTGTCCTCAAGTGTTATAATTTTACAGTTAGACAACTCTCAGTGGGACTGATTTCATAAAACAGTTAAATAATAGATTGAACAAGAATAGGTTTCACTGCCATGCAATGCTGTCTCACTTGGTTGTAAACTGTTATGAATTACATAATTAATAAATAAAGTCCCAAAATCAACCTTAAACTTGTTGATAAAGACAACAGCAGTTTCTCCTTACTTTGGTCTATTTTATCATTAAATAGTTCAAATATAGTGAAAAGTGTAGAGAAAAATATTATAAACTTCATTTTATGAATCAATCCAGGTTCAGGACACCTTTATATGTTGTTTATTTGTTTTGGGCTTTTAAATAATCTTTTAATTGCCTATTCCTCCCTAATTTTAATTCCCTCTATCTCTCCTCTGAGGTACTCAGTAATCTGAATTTGATGATTCTCATTTTGAAGAGTCCTTTTTATACTTTTACTATATACCTATGTGGCTGTAAACAATATCAAGCTGCATACTGAATACTTTTAAACATATCTAAATGTTGTCATATTATATGTACTATTTTTCATCTTGTTTTTGGCACTACATATTATACCATTAAGATCTGCTCCAATTAATATACATATTGCTTGTTCATTTATTATAATTGTAGTACAGTAATGTGTTGCATTATTACACTTTGGTTATCCTTTCTGTTGTTGATGGATATCTGGAGTATAATATCATACTTTTTCACATTCATTATTAAAACCAAACCAATCCTTCAATGAGTAATCATGCACACAGCTTGTTCTTTTTTGTACATATGCTAGAGTCTTAGAGTCTGGGTTTTATACATAAAATTAGAAAGCTAAATTTTATCAGTAAATATCTTCAACAGTTACAAGCTACCAATAATCACCCTGAGTCATGACTTTCTGTTGCTTCATATACATGCCAGATCTTTTAAAATTTTGTCTCTCTAATGAGAATAATATGGTATTATATTGTTTTCATTTGCATTTATCTGTTTACCAGCAGTATGGGATATTTTACACTATGTTTATTGGTCTTGTTTATTTCATTTGCTGTGAGTTGTATGTTTGCATCATTTGCCCAACCTTGTATTGGGTTCTCTTGATGCTTTTGTCCTTCTAATTTGTGTGTGTGTGTGCGTGTGTGTGTGTGTGTGTGTGTGTGTAACTGAATATATTCTAGATATTTATCTCATCAGATATTAAAATCAGTTTTAACTTATTTCTTACTTTTTAATTTTTATGGTGTCTTCATTTGTAAATGGTTCATTTTTTCTGAAATACATACTTTTCAAATGAGAATTTTCAGTGATTACATCTCTTACTTCCAATATGTTAGCCATTTTTAATTTTTAAAAATTTTTTTATTTTAATTTCCAATTATTCATCATCAATATATGGTAATTTGATTCCATTTCCTACATTTGACCTATATTCCCTGGCTTGTTACACACTCACTTATTAGATCTGTAAGAAATTCCTTAGGATTTTCTGTATAGATAACTATGTCATTTGTGAATAAAGGCAATTTTATCCTTTCATTTCCAAAGTATATGATATTTTGCTTTAATCCCTGGTATTTTTGCACTGGCAATGGCAATAGTGCAATGTTGATTAGAAGTTGTGAGAGAGAACATTCTTGCCTTATGTATCAACCTTGAGCTTAAAGAATTCAATATTTTACCAAGTGTACCAGCAGATTTTTAGTAGATGTGCATTATTGAATTGACAAAACTCCCATTCCTTTTAAAAAATGAATTTATTTCTAAATTTGATAAAATTGTATATATTTATCATGTACAACATGATGTTGTGAAATATGTATACATGATGGAATGACTGTATTAAGCTAATTAATATATACATTACCTCACATAGTTATCATTTTATTAGGACAATACTTAAAATCTACTCTCAGCAATTTTCAAGAACAAAATACTTCATTATTAATTATAGTCACCATGTAATACAATAGATCTATTAATTTTATTCCTCCTATCTTACTGAAAACTTGTATCATTTGACCAAATCTCCTCAAACATACCCCACCTCAGCCCCTGGTAACCACCATTCTACTCTCTACTTCTATGAGTTCAACATTTTTGGATTCCACATAATAAGTGAGATCCTGTGATATTTGTCTTTCTGTACCTGCCTTATTTTACTTAATATAATGTCCCTCAGGTTCATCTATATTATAGCAAATGACAGATTTCCTTTTCTTGATGGCTGAAGAGTATTCCATTACGGATATATAGCACATTTTAAAAATTCATTCATCAACAGATGGACACTCAGATTGATTTCAAATCTTGGCAACTGTGAATAATGCTTCAGTGAACATAGGAGTGCAGACATCTCTTTGATATACTGATTTCATGTCTTTTGAATATATACCCAGTTGTGAGATTGTTGGATCATATGGTAGTTCTATTTTTAATTTTTAAAAAATCTCTATAGTGTTTTCCATAATGACTGTACTAATTTACACTCCCACTAACAGTGTACAAAGGTTCCTGTTTCTCAGCATCCTCAACAACACATTATAGTTCATCTTTTTAATAATAGCCATTCTAGCAGGTGTGAGACGCTACCTAATTGGGGTTTAATTTGCATTTCTCTGATAATAAGTGATATTGAGCACGTTTTCACTGATGTGCTACTGAGCACTTGTTTGCCACTCGTATGTCTTTTTTTGAGAAGTATCTATTAAGATTATTTGCCCATTTTTAATTGGGTTGTTTTCTTATTAAGTTGAGCTCCTTATATATTTTGAATAATAACTCCTTATAAGATGTATGCTTTAGAAATATTTTCTCCCATTTTGTAGGTTAAGGCAATGTGATTCACTCTATTGATTGTTGCTTTGGCTGTGTGGAAAATTTTTAGTTTGAAATAATCTCATTTGTCTATTTTTGCTTTTGTTGTCTATACTTCTGGGATCATATCTAAAAAATTATTTGCCAGACCAATGCCATGAAGTTTTTCTCTATGTTTTCATTAAGTAGTTTTATAATTTCAGTTCTTACTTCAGATGAGGATCCAAATTTATTTTATTTTTTTCATGTGGATAACAACATTTATTGAAGAGGCTGTCCTTTCCCCATTGGGAGTTCTTGGAAGCTTTATCAAAACTCAATTGACCATAAATGTATGGTTTTATTTCTGGGCTTTCTAGTCTGTTCCATTTATCTATGTTTTTGCTTTTATGCCAGTATTATATTGGTTTGATTACTATAGCTTGTATTACTTCCTGAAGCTGGGTAGCATGATAGCTCCAACTTTGTTCATTTTACTCAAGATTTTCTTGGCCCCTAGAGGTCCTTTGTGTTTTCATACAAATCTTAGAATGGTTTAATCTATTTCTGTGAAAAACGTCATTGGAATTTTGATAGAGATTGCATTGAACCTGTAGATCACTTTGAAAGCATGGACATTTTAGCAATATTAATTCTTTTGATCCATGAACATAGAATTTTTTTCATTTATTTATTTCTTCTTCAATTTTTTTCATGGGTGTTCTCAAGGCACAGGTCTTTCAACTCCCTGCTTAAATTTACTCCTTAGTAATTTTTTGTAGCTATTGTGAATGGGATTATTCTCTTGATTTTTTTCAAGTGATTTGTCATTAGTGTGTAGAAACATTACTGATTTTTTATTATGTTGATTTTGTATTTTGCAACGTTATATAATTTGTTTACTACTCCTAAGAGTTTTTTGGTGGAGTCTTTAGAATCTTCTACATATAAGATCACATAGTCTACAAATAAGGACAATTTAACTTACTTCTTTCCAATTTGGATGCCTTTTATATCTTCTCTTGGTAATTGCTCTGGCTAGGACTTCTGCTACTATGTTGAATGGAAGTGGTGACAGTGGTCTTCCTTGTCTTCTTCCTGATCTTAGGGAAATGCTTTCAAGTTTTCACTGTTGAGCATGAAGTTAGCTGTGAATTTGTCATCTGTGGCCTTTATCATGTTGAAGGACTTTCCTTCTGCATGTAATTTGTTGAGAGTTTTTATTATGAAAGGATGTTGAATTTTGTCAAATGCTTTTTCTTCATCTGTTGGAATAATAATTTTTTTGCCCTTTATTCTATTGATGTGGTGTATCACATTTATAGATTTGCGTATGTTAAACCATCTTCTCATCCATGGGATGAATCCCACTTGATCAAGGTGAGCAACCTTTTTTAATGTGCTGTTGAATTCAGTTTAGTAGTGTATTGTTGAGGATTTTTGCATCTATGTTCATCAGGGATATTGGTCTGTAATTTTCTTTTCTTACAGTGTCCTTGTCTGGCTTTGGTATCAGAGAAATGCTGACCTCTTTAAATTATTCTGATATTTTTTTCAATTTTTAGGAAGCATTTGAGCATGGTTATTACTTCTTCTGTACATTTTTAGTACAATTTGTCAATGAAGCCATAAGATCTTTGTTTTTTGTTTGTTTGTTTTTTTATGGGAGACATTTCATTACTGATTAAACCTCCTTACTTAGTATGGTCTATTTAGGTTTTCTATTTCTTCATGATTTAGTCTTGATAGGTTGTATGTGGCTAGGAATTTACTTATTTCTTCTAGGTTATCCAATTTGTTGGCATATAATTGCTCATAGTAATCTCTTATGAACTTTGTATTTCTGTTATTTCAGTTATAATGACTCCCCTTTTATTTCTGTTGTTTATTTGATTCTTCTCCTTTTAAAAGTAAGTTTAACTAGATGTTTGTTAATTTTGTTTATATGTATTTTTAAAAACAAGCTCTTAGCTTTGTTTATCTTTTCCATTGTATTTCTGCTGGTGGAGGGGGCCTGGAGACCCAATCCCCCAGGCAGGCCTGGAGCCTGAGGCTTGGGGATCCTGCTTGGCACCATGGAGGGCCAGGTCATGGTCACTGGCCTAGAGTCCGGGACTGTAGAGGCTTGGCTGGTGCTGGGTTTTACCGGGGTGAGCTAAGTGTTGTGATTCAAGGCCAAGTCCTGTACTCACATTCCTTTCCTTCCCCCACATGAAAGGTATCTGTCTCCATGCTGTGCTGCATGGGGTTGGAGGAGCGGTGACACAGATAGTGTGAAACTGTCTTTCCCACCCTTTTCAATGTGTGTGTGTGTGTGTGTGTGTGTGTGTGTGTATTTCTGTGCAACACCTAGGTGCTATAATCTCTCACCTGGCTTTCTTAGCTCTTGTGAAAGTATTTTCTTGCATTTTCTTTATTCCTTCTGCAGAAATATCCATTTGAACAACTATCCATGCAAGATAGTTGCATGGATAGTTGTTCAAATCGATATTTCTACAGAAAGAAAAGTTCTAGAAAGCCCTATTCTGCCACATTGCTGATGTTCAATCCCCTTTAATTGATTTATTTCTGCCCAGAACTTTCATTTTCAGTGGGTTAGAATTTATTAAATGCTTTTTCCATAATAATTGAGATGATTACATGTATTGTTGCCGCTGTTGTTGCTTTTAGTCTGTAAATATGATAAACTACATTGATTGATTTTTGAATGTTGAGCCAACATTATATTTCTGGCACATATGCTACTTGAACATAATTTGTAAAAATCTATATCATTTGTTCTATTGCTCCTATTAAAATGTACCACAAACTTAATGGCTTAAAACAATCCAAATTTGTCTATTGGTTAGGAGTTCAACCTCAGCTTCACTAGGCTAAATTCAAGGTGATGGCATGGCTGTGTTCCTTTCTGGAGGCTCAAAGAGTAAATTCATTTCCTCGCCCTTCGTAACTTTAAGAGGCCACTCACATGCCTTGGCTCATGATCTCTATTTTCCATCTTCAAAGCCAACAACTTTGCATCTCTCTGACAATTCTTTAGTCAGCTCTCTCTGTCTCTCTCTCTCTGACTCTCTCTCCTTGCTCCCATCTCTCTCTCTTTCCTATCTCTTTCTTCCCCCTTTAAGAACCCTTCTGATTACATTGGTCTCAATCAAATAATCCAAGATAATCTCTCCATTTAAAAATCTTCAGCCTAGGACAGGCGTGGTGGCTCATGCCTGTAATCTCAGCACTTTGGGAGGCCGTGGTGGGCAGATCATGAGGTCAGGAGTTTGAGACCAGCCTGGCCAGCATGATGAAACCCTGTCTCTACTAAAAATACAAAAAATTAGCTGGGCATAGTGGTGCACGCCTATAATCCCAGCTACTTGGGAGGCTGAGGCAGGAGAATCACTTGAACCCAGGAAGCAGAGCTAAGATCATGCCACTGTACTCCGGCCTGGGCGATAGAGCAAGACTACATCAAAAAAAAAAAAAAAAAAAAAAAAATTTCAGCCTAATCGTATCTCTTTTTCTATGCAAGGTAACATATTCATAGATCCCAGAGATTATTACATTGGCATCTTTGGAGATTCAATATTCTGCCTACCACAATATGTTATTTATTTATGGGTTTGATTTTCTTACATTTTTAAAAAGATTTCTATGTTTACATTCATTAGAAATATTGGACAATTTTTTTTTCATGGAATGGGTTTGTCTGATTTTGGTATTAGAGCAATGCTGTCCTCATAAAAATACAGAGTGTTCTCATCATTTCTATTTTCTGGAAGAATTTTGTAGAATTGGTGCTTTAAATATTTGGACGAATTCACAAGTGAAGCCACAAGTGAAGCCTAAAATACTCCTAAAATTCTGGAGTATTTTAGGTTGAAAGGATTCTATTATGAATTCTATTTATTTAATAGACAAGGTACTATTTATATTATTTATCTCTTTTTGTGTGGCATTTGGTAGTTTACTTCTTTCAAGGAATTTATCTATTTCTTGAAAGTTGTAAGATTTATTGACTAAAAGCTGTTTATAATATTCTCTTAGTATTTTTTAATACCTGTGAGGTCTCTTCTATTTTAGACATTGGTAATTTGTGTCATCTTTTTTTGTTCCAACTATTCTGAATATAGGTTTATTAATTGTACTTATTTACTCAGAGAATCAGATTTAGTTTTCATTAATTTTTCTCTTTTTTTCAGTATTCCCTTTTCATTTATTTCTGTTGTTATCTTTATTTTTTTCCTGACTTCTGCTTACAGTATGATTAATTTACTCTGAGTTTTCTTGTATCTTACCCAAGTATTTAGCTTTCTCGGAGGAAAGAAAGGAGCTTTCATTCTTATTTTTAGCTCCACATTTTTATGTGGTATTATTTACTTCTTGCCTGACAAATTTATAAACATATTAGCATAGGCCTGCTGATGATTAATTTTCTTTTGTTGTCAGGAAACTATTTCACTTTTAATTTTTTATTTTTTCAATTTTGGTGGCTCATGCCTGTAATCCCAGCACTTTGGGAGGCCAAGGCAGGCGGATCATGAGGTCAAGAGATTGAGACCATCCTGGCCAACATGGTGAAACCCTGTTTCTACTAAAAGTACAAAAATTAGCTGGGCGTGGTGGCATGCCTGTAGTCCCAGCTACTCAGGAGGCTGAGGCAGGAGAATCGCTTGAACCTGGGAAGCGGAGTTGCAGTGAGCTGAGATCGTGCCACTGCACTCCATCCTCATCCTGGTGACAGAGCGAGACTCCATCTCAAAAAAATAAAAAATAAAAAATAAATAAGAACTTAAACAAACAAAATAACAGGTTTTTCCTCCCCTTTCAGTATTTCAAAGATAATGCTCCATTGTCTTCTGGCTTGATTTTTCCTGAATAACTAATGTGATATACTTCTGAGGACTTTACCTAATATCCAAATATCCAAATGCATTATGAGAGGGACTGTTGGGTGTACTGTTTTACATGGGGTCTTCTTTCCTTTCTCTCTTTCTCTCCTTTCCTTCTCTTTTTTTTTCTTTTTTTTTTTTTCAGAAAGAGTCTCGCTCTGTCTCCCAGGCTCACTGCAAACTCCCGGCCTCAAGCTATTCTCCCACCTCAGCCCCACAAGTAGCTGGAAGTACAGGCATGCGTCACCATGTCCGGCTAATTTTTGTATTTTTGGTCGAGACAGGGTTTCACCATGTTGCCCAGGCTGGTCCTGAACTCTTGGACTCAAGTGATCTGCCCGCTTTGGCCTCCCAACGTTGTGGGATTACAGGTGTGAGCCACTGCGTCCAGCCTTACATGAAGCATTTTTGTTATTGTCATTCTTCCCTTTGGCCTTGGATAGTTCTTACTAATATTTGTAGATTACTATGTAGCCAAAAATTCAAGAGGTACTTTCTGGAGATCTTTGAAGCCTTGTTGATGTAGCTCGTTTCCCCCCACCGCCCCAACTATGCTGCCCCCAAAATTCTATCAGTTTGATCTCTCCAAATTCTGATCTTTACCTCCAAGGAACAGACAGGCCTGCTTGATTTTCCCTGCCTGTATTGCATCCTGAAAACCATCCTCAGCAAAATGTTGGGGTACCTATCCCAATTATTTCCCTTCAACAATTATTCGTTTTTTGGCTTGTTATCCTAAGTCTGAAAAATCAGTGTATCATATTTTTTTCTCTTATTCTTTTAAAAGAAAATGCAAACACAGCACCCATTACTATTTCATGGCCAGAAGTATACACCCTCTACACATACGTATTTTAAACTATTTTTTCTCAGTTCATTCTATATTTTTAATGTCATCCAATTGATTGCCTTCGCTTTTTTAACATCACATTTTTTTTCAGGTTTTTGAAATTTGTTTTGTAATCTTACTTGGAGCAGAAGATGGTGTCAGTTCTGTTTTGTTTTGTTTTGTTTTGTTTTGTTTTGTTTTTGTCTCTACTCATATTTTTTTGCCTTACTGTTTGGCAGTTGTTTCCGTCTTGCATCCACGATTTCTTACACAAAATCAACTCTCAAAATATCCATTTGGGGTAATGTTGATGGCGTTATAGATTTAATCAAAGGGCAGAGAAAAAGTTGAGTCATTTTTTATCTTAAGTCTGTGTCTCTGTGTTCTGACATTTGGGTCAGCTTTTTCTTAACAAGGCAAAACATAATTTTTCTACAAGCTTTTTAAAAATTGTGGTAAAATATAAATAACATGAAATTTATAATTTAAACCATTTTTAAGTGTATAATTCAATGGCAAATGTACTTTCACAATGTTGTGCAACCATAAACACCATCCATTTCCAAATCATTTTCACCATTTCAAACAGAAACTCTGTACCCAATAAATTATAACTCTCCGTATCCTCTTTCCCCTGACCTTTGAAAACCTCTATTCTACTTTCTGTCTCTATGAATTTGCTTCTTCTAGGGCTTTTCATAAGTGGACTCATACAGCATTCCACAAAATTCAAGCTCTTTCTTTTCAAATCCTATCAGTGCATACTTGATGTTTGACACAAAGAAATATAGCTAGTCTAGATGTTTTACTCTTTTAACTATATAACAACAGGCATTTTAGTTAGTGGTTAATGCTTTCTCCCCAACCACTGCCAAAATAAATATTATGTCCTAATCCCTGAAACCTTTAAATATCTTCAGATGGGGAGATTATTCTGGGATGTCAGGTGGGTCCTAAATGCAATCACAAGTGTCCTTATGAAGAAAGGCAGGGAAACATATTACCCATGAAGAGGAGGTAATGTGAATGCAAAGTGAAGACAGATTTTAAGATGGTTGGCTTTCAAGATTGAAGTAATGTAGGCAGAAACTAATAAATAACAGCAGCATTCAGAAGCTGGAAGAGGCAAGAACTGAATTCTCCCTTAGCTCCTTAAGAGGGAGCATGGCCCTTCTGACACCTCAATTCCAGCCCACTGATACTGATTTCATAATTCCTGACTCCAGAGCTATAAAAGAATAAATTTCTGTTGTTTTAATTCACCAAGTATGTGGTAATTTTTGAAGCAGCCACAGGAAAATAATACAGGGTTCTTAACCATTTATAATATTTGCACTAAAAGTCATGTAAATAAATACATACATACTCAAATATTGAGTATTATCTACAACTTCATTTAAACATAGTATATACAGCAATTTTCAATTATTCTTCTCAAATATGTAAATACGTGTCTGTCTCTTTTTTTTTTTTTTCCAGAGTCTTGCTCTGTTGTCCAGGCAAAAATGCAATGGTGCAATCTCAGCTCGCTACAACCTCTGCCTTCTGGCTTCAAACAATTTTCATGCCATATCCTCCCGAGTAGCTGGGAATACAGGCATGCTCCACCATGCCCGGATAACTTTTGTGTTTTTAGTAGAGACAGGTTTTCACTATGTTGCCCAGCAGGTCTCAAACTCCTGGCCTCAAGTGATCTGCCCACCTCGGCCTCCCAAAGTGCTGGGATTGTAAGTGCTAGTTACTGCACCCAGCTAGTGTCTTTCTATTTTTAAGGAAGAACAATTTGGGGAAAATTAAGGTGTGCTAATATATTTTCTCTCTTCCTCATCACCCATCTTACCAAGGATTTATGAATTTATACTTTAAAGATCTGTCAAACATATCAACTCCTCCATGTATTTGTTATCACTATAAACTACAATATAAGCCCAGAAATCCACACTTAACCTATAGCAGCAACCTCCTAACTGATCTCTTGCCTTCCGATCTCATTCTCATGTCCCAGGATGGGAGTAAACTTTCAAAAGTGCATTTCTGTTTGCATATTACTTCTAATTAAAATTATATAATGCATTTTCTTTAGTTTTCTAGTTAAAATTCAAGCTCTTTAATTTAACCAACAAGGCAATTTGTAATCAGGTGCCTACCTAACACTCTAGTATAATATCCTATTATTCTCTTCTTAAAATCTCTATTCTAACTATACTTTTATCGCCACTCTACACGATTTTATTGCCCCATTCTATGCTCACCTGGAATCCCATAAATGCCTTTATCATAGCTATTATCACACTATATTGTAAAAAATGTATTCACTTAACTGTTTTACCCAGTTTAATAAAAATTTCTTTAGGATAAAGATCACATGATTATTTAGCCAAGTATGCCCATAAAAAGTGTAGTGCTTACTTCATAGCTATATTTATTGAATTGTTATGTGAATAACATTTGTATCAAAGCCAAATTTTCCAAAAATGTATAGATACTTGCTAAATGAAAAAGTATTTTGGTGGAAATCAAAACTAAAACAGACACTTAGCAAACTTATCACTTTGAGGTGAATAAGAATAGGCACTTAAAGTGATTTTAAAGTGAAAGCACTCCAATTTTGTATTTAGTTACTATTTTACATTTCTTTAAGGGAAACTATTACTAAGTGCATATATGAGATTTATGTTTTTTAAGTTAATGTAAATTTATATTAAATGAATTTAAACTGCTAATTATATGCTTGATTTGTCCATTCCTTAATAATAACCTATTTATCTCCCAGAATGGAGTTGACCACTGCATTCTTTTTGAAAATATAAAGAATCAAAATTTTTTTCTTTTTAATTTTTTATTGTTTTCAGCTGATTTCACCTTTTCCTACTAGTGTTGTAGGTACAGCCAAGAAGTATGGCAAGTAATGACGTTTTCAATACAAGGCATTCAATCAAATATTACTAAGTAATTAGAAAATTTAATGCCTAAAACAACAGGATTATCTTTGCTATTCAAAAGTAGTTTACTTTTTATGGATGTTTTATTGCCGCATAGAAAAAACAATGGTTACAAGAATGAATACATTCTAGGAACTAATTTTTTTAATAAAATGTGTTTCAGTGTTCTAAAATAAAGAAAAATATACAGGAACAGATATTGCTGTCACATCAAGGCACTAAACAGCTGACCTGGTTGGTCCTAATTATTGATAGTTTACCACAACACTAGCTTTGGCTTCTACAAAAGCGTTAGCAGAATTGATGGCAGGAACACACATGATTTATTTATTAAGAATGATCTAGAGTTTCCTGTATTTTAAGTTTCAGGCACTCACACTGTGCAATGCCATGTCATTCAGCAAGAACTAATCAGAGACAGGAAGCACTTTAGCATGTTTACAGAAATATCTTTTTAAATAGATTTAACTATTAGACAACCCTCGTGTAAAGCTCTCATTCTGAAAAACATGGGTAAAAGATTATCACTCCATACTCACAAAAATTGATTTTGGAGATTGAAAGTTGTTACACACTGAGGTTGGATTTCCATTTTCATTGAACTGAATTTTGGATATGCTGTGAATATACTAGCATTCACTAGGTGCTGACTTGTGACTCTAGCATATTTTTTAAAAGAATCATTAAATTTCCTCTCATATTTTTATCAAGTATTCTCTGTACCCGATGGAGATACATTATTACATAAAGTAATAATGATAACATTAATAATAACATTAATAATAACATTAACTAACACCTATTGAGCACACAGTAAATGTCAGACAGGTATCTGCTAAACATGTTACATGTATTATCCCATATAATCCTCAACGGAAACTCCCTGAAATAAGTATAGTTATTATCTCTATGTTAATGCTCACACCAAGGGTAAGATATGTTGTGTATCTTGTTCAGGGTTAAATATAACTTCCTGAAATGGTAATTTGACATCGAATCAATCAGAGTCTAAGGCCAGAGTTCTCAATCACTATGTTTTTGTTGTTTGTTTGTTTTTTGAGATGAAGTCTCATTCTGTTGCCCAGGTTGAAGTGCAATGGTGCGATCTCAGCTCACTGCAACCTCTGCCTCCTGGGTTCAAGTGATTCTCCTGCATCAGCCTCCCAAGTAGCTGGGATTACAGGTGTGCATCATCACACCTGGCTAATTTTTGTATTTTTTAGTAGAGACGGGGTTTCACCATGTTGGCCAGGCTGGTCTTGAACTCCTGACCTCAGCTGATCTGCCTGCCTCAGCCTCCCAAAGTGCTGGGATTACAGGCGTGAGCCACCGCACCCCTCAATCACTATGTTAAATGGCTTTTTTTTTTTTTTTGGTACTCCACTCCCTCCAGTGGTAAACAACACATGAGTCCATAACCTGAATGACAGAGATTATCTTTATGTAAATATTTTCCAAACTTGTCTCCAACTTAGTGCCTTTCTAAGCTGCTGACCTATATTTCCCAATGTCTAAACATGCTCTGACAGCACTAATACCCTTTTATACTCACACTACTGCCACCTCCAGTTACTGTCACATGCTTCAATATTTCTTCTAACAAATTCAGATTCCAGACTTAATTTATAATTGATCTTCCCCAAACCTCAAATTGAATTGTTTTACTTTTGTGAGCAGCCACTGACTAGAGATATGGCTATCAGAAGAAGCAGCAGATTACAGCTTTGGCAGTTATAATGAAAGTCTCTAAGAACAGCTTTCTCTGTTCTCATTCACTTCTCTACTCTCCTCCCAGTCTCTGGTACAGCTATCAGGGCTTCATTCACCTTTCCTTACTGTAAATATATGCTCTTGGGGAAAGATCCAAAAACACACACACACATGAACAAACAAAGGTAAAAGCATCTGTTAACATTTACTTGAAGTCATTTTTTTCTGTATTTGAATTGTACGAATGGACTAAAAGTATGGAACTAATGATAAAAATGTACTAATCACAATGCCAATTGGTAGAGGCTTCACTGAACAAAAGGGCCCCTTGCTTGTATCATTTTACATTCATGACATATTGATAAATACTTTCTTATTCACACATTCTCAATAGATGATTGAGGCAAAGTGAGGAGAGGATATCTAGAGGTAAGAGTTCTCCAACACATACTGAACACAGTGACGGTGGATCATAATGGATGTCATTTGAACAATGACAGAAAGAACCCCTGCAGGTTAAAAGTTTCTTTGAGAATTTCTAACTAAATGAATGGCTTATGGGTGACTGGAGCAGAAGCAAATGAAAAAACAAATTAGATTTCAACTTTATATTAACAACAATAAAAAAACAACAAAAATTATTCAGCAGCAAAAATTTTTAAGAAGCTAAGAATATAAATGTATATAATATGACTTACTAATCTTAGGATTTTAATATTACCATGCCTCAGCTCCCAAATACTTCTAAAGAAATTATTCCAAATACACAGATTTGTCTGAACACTTCTCAGAAATTCGCTTAAATACACAGATTTGCCTTAAAATAAAAGTGTAGTTGTCAACTCACCTTGGGGATTTAATATTTCTCAATAATCATTGATTTTCCTTAAACAGTTTTCTTTCTACTTCCTCAAAAATTATTCCAAAACTTAAAATTTTTTCTCAAGACTTCTATTCAAATTTCTTCCTAGCCTCATCATAGAAAATTGCCTTTGAAGAAAACTTAAATCATCACTACCTGAACTAATTCAAATTTTACCCCAACTTTACAAATGTATCTATACTCCCATCTATCATAGAGAACGAGATATCTTTTTTCTTTTTTAAAATCAACCTGTCCTTTTGTGTATCAGATTTTACACCTTTCCATCTGCTGCATTATTTGGCTCCATAAACTTTCTTCAATCACCATTACAACTGCAAAGTAGTCTTTATTCTTGCTTTTTGCCTCCAAAGTCTATAAATGTCAGAAAATATCTTCCATATTTTAAAAAATCCTGCTTGACTCTTCATGCTTCTCTTGTTTTATATTTATTTATCTCAAACATGCCTTTAGAACGTTTAGGCATGTACAATATCTCTACCTCAAAGCCCTCTATTTAGATGTGGCCCCCTCTATGTAATAATTATTGATTCACTTATTTATCAATAAGTATGTATTACTCATGTATCAATCAATCTATCTGGAATACCACCAGATAGAGAGTCCCTTGAAGGAAGAGGTGCTGACTTTATTTCTTAGCACCCAACAGGGTTGCTGACACAAAGCAGGTGGCAAACATTTGTCTGCAGAAAGAGTAAATGAATAGCATCAATGAACACAAGGTGCTAAATAATTTTTGTGAAATTAATTGAACAATTAACAATATAGCAAACATTTATCCTTCTATTGAGTCATCAATGATATTTTATGCTAGGCCATGGTTTTATTTGAATAAATGTAGTGTTTCCAACCCACCTGAGTGAATCTATATGTAACAATCCCCTGAATGAACTAACTAAACAAATAAATGATAAAAATGATCATAACCACACAAACTCAATATCACAGATACTGGAGGTAATGACAACATTTATAGAGGTAATATTTATAGACATCTTGTTATTGTATGCTAAACACTTTGGGAACACTTTAAATTAGTTTTCAGTTTATCCTCATAGTAACTCAAAATTAGTTAAGTAGAAACAGTTGTCACATTCACTACTCTCTCTCTCTGCAAATGGTCATGAGAAGACAGAGATATATAGGGAGTATACTATGTTTAGATGAAGGCAGAAATTAGAATTATGTAGTGTAAAAAGAATGTCAAAGATTGACAGACATTACCAGAAGCTGGGAAGAGGTAAGCGAGGATTCCTCCATGGGTTTCTGAGACAGCATGACATTGCTGACGCTTGATTTCAGAGTTTTCACTTCCAGAACTGTGAGACAACAAGATTCTATTGTTTCAAGCAATTTTGTTTGTGATACTCTGTTATGGCAGTCCTAAGAAACTAATACACCAGCGTTACGGAACACTCTAGATAAGAATTGACTGGTGGGAAAAAATAAGAGTTCTGAACTCAGGGGGAAAGTTTTTTCCCAAATTTGCCCAGCTATCATAAAGTCCCACTATGTTTTCAACTCTTGTGTTTATGCTTCCTCTGCAAGGAAAGAGCACTACAAGGAAAGAGCAAGGCAATTAGAACTGCAAGGAAAGAGCAAGAAAAGAAACTATTTAGGAGTAAAACATAATAACAGTGAGCCCCTGTGCTGGTCAGGGCTCCAGAGAAGAAGAACCAATAGAATGCAGAATATGTGTGCGTGTGTTGGGGGGGGTGGGGTATACACACACACACACGAGACAGAGACAGAGAGAGAGAAAGAAAGAAAAGAAGAAAAGAAAAGAAAAGAAAGAGAGAAAGAAAAAGAAAGAAAGAAAAAGAAGAAAGAAAGAAAAAAAGAAAGAAAGAAAGAAAGAAAGAAAGAAAGAAAGAAAGAAAGAAAGAAAGAACGAACGAACACATCATGTATTATAAGGAATTGGCTCACACAATTATGGAAGCTGAGAAATCCTACGAGCAGCAGTTGGCAAGCTGGAGACTCAAGAGAGTTGAGTTGATGGTGTACTTCTAGTCCAAGCCTGAAGTCCAGAGAACCAAGAAAGTCAATGGCGTAAAGTTCCAGTCTAAAAGCCAGCAGGCTTGAGAACCAAGAAGAGCCCATGTTTCATTTAGATTCTGAAAGCAATAAAAGGCCAATGTCCCAGCTCAAGCTGTCAGATAGGAAGAGTTTGCCCATACTCATGGAAGGTCAGCCTTTTGGTTCTATTCAGGTCTTCAACTGATTGGATGAGGGTCACCCACAAAAAAGAGGTCAATCTACTTTGCTTTACTCAGTCTATTGATTCAGTTGTTAATCTCAACCAAAAACATTCCTACAGACACACCCAGAAAAAAATGTCTGATGAAATATTTGGGCACCCCATAGCCCAGTCAAGTTGACATACAAAATTAACCATCATGTCCCAATATCCAGTGATATCATACTAGTCACATGTTATGGACACATTAAGGTAAGAAACGATTGTTCACAGGTGGGATTGTGTAAGCAAGTGCCCTGAAAATCAACTCCATGAATCTTCTGAAAAATATATGAAAATATAATTTAGGACAAAAAGAAGTATTCCACATTCCACCTGACACTTTATATCACACATCAATTTTCTTTTTGCCATAATGAATGGCAATTTATTTGTACTTATCATAAGCTTAGCTGGGAATAAGTAAAAGTGCTGCACTAATAGCTTCATTGACACATTGCTGAATTTGTCGGTGTTGGTTCAAACACCAGAAAAAGCTCATTATTGTTTGAAGTATATTATCCAACACAAAGTTATCTATGTTTAGAATATCCCCTTAGCAGTAAGATTAGTATCTAAAATAAGCAGAATGATCTAAAAAAATTTTAGTATTAAAGACTTTTCTATTTTTGCATTTTGTTATTAATACAAATGAGTGTTAATGAAAAATGCATTGGGATTAATGAAAAGGTGGCAGAACCCTGGTTACACCACTCACCAGCTTTGAGATTTCAAGTGAGCTAGTTACTCCCCAGCGACCTCAGTTTCTTGCAAAATATAATTCCTGCCCTCTCAACTCACAATGTTGAGAATTAAATGAGATGATGTATGTGATGCTGCTTTATGAGCTCCAAACACTATGAGTTCATGCAACAAGGACTTAAAGTCTTGTATATCCATGAATTGCTCAGGCGGCTGAAGAAAACAATTACATCATAATCTCCTATCTCTTGGAATTCAGAAATGTAAGTGAAGGAATAAATGTGTTGGGTTAGGAGCTACAAATAATCTAGTGTGAGCGGAACTCGGCATGTACCTGGAGATGTGGTAGAAAATAAAATTATAAATGAAGTTAGAATTCATTTTTAGAAGGCCCTTACACATCCTGATTGGGAGATTAGAATTGTTCTTTTAGGCTAAGAAGAGCTATTAAAGTATTTGTAACATAGAGATGATATGATCAGTTTTATGTTTTCAGACACTCCCTTTGGCAACAGTATATTACACTGTAGAAGACCTTAATCTTTATGGATTATGGAATGCTACCTCATACCAATAACTAACATATTGTTGATTTTAGACATATAGCTTATATAAATAAAGATAGCAATAAAATGAATCAGCCGAAGTTTCAAACCTGTAGGAGTAGCTTAATAGTCTATCTTCCTACTAGTCTTCACATGTGTGTTTTTTTGTTTTTGTTTTTGTTTTGCCCTTTATCAGCAAGTGGTCTTATGTCTAGTCAACAGAGGAGGAAACTGAAGCAGAGATGTTCTGTAGGATGTTTAAAGAAGCACATCTAAGTGTTGTTGTGAATGGTCACATTGACTAGCAGAGTGTGATTCCTGGAAGGGAAGACTTTCTGCCTTATAGCTCTTGTGTGCACGTTGATATAGCTCTTTAGTGTTGGGAGGTAGAACTGAGGTGCTTACATGTGATGTATATGGTAAATGCTCAATAATAATAGTCTATGTTCTAGTCATTAATCAGACTTTATACTTTAGGAGAAACCTGTGCACAAACTATTATAAAACAGAGACCTAAAATCGTCATCACGTGACCCACATAATAAAAGAGATTATGATCATTTGCAAACTCTCTGTATAAACATTGCATTTAGAAGTAATAAAAATCGTTTTGTATCACTAAGATGAATAACACCAAAACAAAGGAAAAAAATAGTCCATTTGTTGCCTTAGGTGACTCTCAAAGGAGAATATGTAAACATATGAACAACAATTAGCCTTCCTTATGACTTACACAGAATGTGAATTAGGCTAATAAGTCATCATTCCCATCCTTTGCAGTCCTGTAAATGTGCTATCTCTTCTTTGGAGTCAACCAGACATAGTCCACAGAATATGCATACTATTGTTTGAATTTATATTTCTAAAAAAATAAAAACAGTCTGGCATATTGGCAAGACTGAAAATGAAGGGACTTAATAAAATTTGATCCTAACCCTCACACTTATTTTCTGAGAAATCTTAAATAACTATTTCATTTTCCTACACATCACCTTTATCATCTTTTTTCAGTACAATTATTTTATAACCGACAACCTGTTACACAAAATTTAGCACCTGAAGTTATACTCTCATATATTATTATCTGCTTATTTTCACTGCATACAACTTAACTCTTAAATGAGATCGCAACTTTTCATGTTTTCCAGAGGAGGCAGCATAGTATTAAACACATGGTTGACTGACTTTAAAAATCTGCTTTTAATTAGGAGATATACCTAATGTAAATGACGAGTTAATGGGTGCAGCACACCAACATGGCACATGTATACATATGTAACAAACCTTCATGCACATGTACCCTAGAACTTAAAGTATAATAAAAAAAATCTGCTTTTATATTACCTTTACGTTTTATCGTTTTAGAGTTAGTTGACAATTCAATATGCAATAATAACTCTACTGGTTAGATTTACGAGGGTAGATTTTCTAAAATAAAACCAATTATTTTTCATAAGTTGAAGGATTCATCCTCTGAGTTTCATGAGTAGTCTATGAGTTCGATGTGATATGCTAACTGTTCTACTTAACAAATAATATTAACTCTTTGGATTATTCATGGTATTAAATGAATATATTATCACAAAATGTAAGCAAGCTTGCTATGCTTTATTTCTACAATTCCAAGGAAAACTTCCACTAAGGAATTATAATTTATCTGTAATTAATTATAACATGTAACAAATTACAAAAAGCCTATAAAGCAAAAGGGACAACTGTGTATTTATACCCTACAGACACTGTGATAAATACTTTAGAAACAAAATCTTAGTTTTAGGATGAAATCGTCTTTTTGAGTGCACACTCATACCATGGAAGTTTCCTGCTTAAAATATCTACGAAGGAGTTGATCAAGAGGCCTGTGGGTTTTCCATACAATTGTGCAGGAGGCATGTATCTTAAATAAAGAATAAAAGGGCAAATGGAATACAAAATTTGGAACAAAGAATTTGATTCCCTGCACCTGTTTTTCAGAAAGGTTTTAATATGTAAACATAAACAATTAAAAAGAAAGCCTAAAACTCACAATATATAACAAGAGTGACTGAAGGTTATTCTGTCTGAGATATTATTTTTTTGAATTATTATATAAATGATACCTATCCTTTGAATTCATAGGAATAATATATTATTATCTGTATACTCAGTTGTTTCTGCCCAATTCAAGTAATAGAAGTGAACCTATTATATTAGATAGAAAAATGTAGCACCAAGACAGTTAAACTGACCGAATGGTGGCTCTAAAGGACAAAATCAAAGGAGATTTTGCAAAAGTTCAAAGATGTACAAAAGGGGGAATGATTGCTACTCTTCAGTCTTCGTACAGAAACACTTACTTTATATTTTATCAAGAAGTATTTTGTAAATACAATCCAAAAAAAGTTGATAAAAATCATGATTTCAAAACTTTACTAAAGTCTATTTCTAGATTTTCTTTGTAAATTGATACATTTAACAAAATCTTACTTAATATTAAAAAAATAGATTCACTTCAAATTAAAAACAGCAAAATCAGTTTATTTTACATTGTTAATTTAATTTCAAAGCCTAGACAAATATTTTAATGAATTTATGCAATTCATAATTAATACATCAGGAATTTAAGGAGTCTAAAGCACAATAAAAACAGCACAGTAGATTTATACATTCATTTTTGTGGTCTATTGATAATTTATTATCTACTTTTTACTAGCCTGAAATGAAAACAGTGTCTTTAAAACCATCAACTTTCTTTATTAAATCAGAATAATGAACTATTAACTCATGGAGACAAAGATAACTTCATTAATGATGATAGGAAGCTGGCTCAGAAATAAGTTATTTCTGACTCATCTTTTGTTTTTAGATTGAACTTCAAAAGAGTAATGAGAATCAGTTTTTCTTCTGTTCTCTCTCAAAGCTTTTTGTAAATGTGTTGGAGAAGTTTTGGGAGATATAGAGCTATGTAATGCTAGGATAACTCTGGGAAAGAAATACGTTACTGTATTTTAAAATATTTACTTCCACTATGTCCTATCGACGGTACTAAATAATTATCAGCAGAAGAAATCCGTGACATGAACCACTGTTCAGCAATTATAAATAAGAAAATAGGTTTGTGATTTTCAGTTGCTACGATACACATTTAACCATGAGCACTAAGGGTATAAATTGTTGGAACTTTACTAACTGTTGAGTTTTAAATGTGTAATGATCATTGCTTCACAATGTTAAATGTGAAATGATTTATATGCCTTTAGGGAGGTACCTAGTATCCAAAAGTATAATAAAGTTAGGTGAATTTCATATTAACAGAAACATATTTTTGCTGAAATAATGTTAATATGAAATGAAATTGTAAAGGTGAATTCTATTAAAGGATTAAGCTTACTTTGTTTCTTCTCCTTATTATTATTTTACTTCTTTCTATTCTCCTCCTTCTCGTTTCTTCTCTTCTTATTCTTCATCCCCTTTTTTTGATTTCTGAGGCCCCTTCCAACTCTAAATGGGTTCTGGCAATCTGTGAGTTAGAACACAATGCCCCTCCCCCTCATCCAGGTACTAGCTCACAATCCATTTACTCTTCTAAGAAACTCTCTCTCTTCCCTTTACTACCAATATCTTCCCCTCTGCTCGTACCAGCCCTCAGTCCTAATGCTCAACACCTCATACCAGGCACACCTGCACCCACTGCCCCTTGCTCCACTTGTCAGTCTCCGGATCTCCTTTAAGAGCCATTTTAAACATCACTTCCTTCACTAAATGTCTCCAGATTTCCCCAAATAATTTGTTGAATTCAGGAAACCAAAGGAAGTATGTCTTGTCATCAAGGGTGTATTTAGGATGATGTTAAGGCTAGAGAAGTGGGCAGGAACTGTGTCAAGAATAATATGGATTGCTAAACCAACAAATCTGAACTTTATCATAGAAGTCATGGAGTTCATGAAGAACTTCAAGCAGGAATAGATTATATTAATGTTTGTGTTTTAGAAAAATTCCTCTAATTGACAATAAAGGATGGTTTGGAAACAAGAAAGACTGGAGCCAGGGGAAGTGTTGTTTTATCTCTTTCAATAATCACATAAATACACAAATAGACTGTAGATGTTTTTATGGCATAGACTGCATCTTATACTTAAGAATTTTATTACCAAATGACACTGTTATAAATTTATACTTGTAAGAATGCTCAACGTTGATGACCTATGTAAGTTTTATCACATTTTAAAGAAGAGAGGAACCAAAACAGTATGGATTTTGCACAATTAAGTTAATAACTTTTTTCTTAAAGATGTACACACAAAGACACATGCACACACATATATATACTGTAAATTACATATATATATACCTAAATTACATTGAAATTGGTATAGCCACAGATTTTTAAATCAAACTTTAACAGGATAAATAATGTGTTAGGTGTCTACGTAACCATAATTGTTTATTGCCTAAGAGGCAACACATGCTGGCACAGACGTTGAATAGAGAAAATTTAAAAATATTTCTTTGGTTCAAAGGCTATAGTTGTCATTGTTTCTAAGCTACTCCCACCACCCTCATAGTTTCCATAAATACGTGTAGGTTCTCAAAGATCTTAGTGTTATTTGTTTTCAAGAAACAAAGTTCAATGCTCATGGCAAATAAATCACACCTACCTTCTATAAATTAATTCATGACAAATTTTAAAAATTAAAGAAATTCTCAGAAAAAGCAACTAACCAAATAGTACCAAAATAAAATAAAGAACATTGAACAGGTAAAAATTATGACTTCTTTTAACCACCAAAATTAACATTAAGAATTCAGTAAATTTGAGAAAATGTGAGTGACAGGTATTTAACATAAATTATCTTCTGTCTTAAATAATCTGTGGATTGTAATACCACACACCTACACATGCATACATAAAATCCATATGCATTTCATCTATATATATTAGAATTATTATTTCATATGTAAAAGTGGTGGAATCTGAGACAACTGTCTAAATAGAACCAATGGTAGTTTTATTCCATTTTTCTAATAAACTAGGCTGGAATTTTACAGATTCAATTTAGTGCAGTAAAGTTCAGTGCAGAAGTAGGTGAGTTGAAATCTAGAAGGATTAAGATCAGGCCCTGCTATCAGTGCATATCCACAAAAAAACATCCACAAAACTAGAACAGAAAAAAAAAAAAGGCTTTTTAGTCAGGTACATTTGGATTCAAATGCGTTTCACCAATGAGTATTAAGTAACCTTGAGCAAATTTATTAATGTTTCCTGAACTTTGTTTCCTTATTTGTAAATGGAAATGATAATATTATAGTAGTCTCAAAAAAACTGTAGGGATAGTAGCCCATCTAGCAGAGTCTGAAAGCAGTGCATGTTCAATAAGAGATAGATATCACTGCAGTTTCAAACTACATTGTCAAAAATGATATGCAAATGCTATTCAAACCATCAAATAGTTAAAATGTGATTATTTCTGGAGGGGAGGATTGGAAAGAACCAATTAGCTAAGGAAGATTTTAAAAACTTAACTCTTTTTAAACTTAGTTTTTAGAAAGTATCTTTGGTAGTGGTTAGAACTGTAATACAGAAAATTGATAGGAAAGGGCATTTCAGACAGAGAGAACAGTAGATGAGATGCTAGAATATTTGGATATTTTAGGATGAATTATACTGTTTGACAAGAGTGAGTTTGGGACTTCATAAGAGTCCTGAAAACCACACCAGAAATTATACTTTGATTCTTGATATGCTTATAGCAATTAACATGTTTTAAGTAAGTGAATGTCATTAAACAACATTTTCCCATTACCAAGAATATTTTCCTTATTTTGATTTTTAAAGCTAATGAACCTATTAAAAATATCCAACAACATAATTTTTTCCTTGAGTGGATAAAATAGGAAATCATATATGTTAAAACTTATTATAAATCCCATGGCACATTACAAAATGCTTGTGAAATTTTTTTATACCCATAGCAATGCTATTTTAACAATTTTGTCACAAACAGTCTGACATTGGGAACTAGCAGCCATGAAATAATTTTTCAACATGCTTTATAAAGAAAAAATATTCCCAAATTTGAGGATGTGATATTATAAGAGACTCCAAAATTTCCCTGAACTCATGATGAACCATTCTTCCTCCCTTCTACATTGAAAGGCCTCATAGGTTCTTTCAGAACACACAAAACATTCTTGCTACTGCATTAAAAAAAACACAGGCTGATCCCCCACCCAGTAAACATTTGATGGAAAGAAAACAGCTGGTGTATGAAAGAGAAGCTTGCTCACACATTTCAAGATAACTTCCGACTAGATTCATCTTTAGATTATTCTAACGCACAATGTTTCTGGCTTGAATATGAAGCATATTGAGTGTTTCGGGGAGGAATATTTGTTTCTGAATGCCAGGCTCTGTGTTCAGCCTAGCAGAAAGGCCTCTTATCCTTTTGGGCTCCCACAGGCTTGTGGAATAAAAGTGAGTTGTGCATCACTGGTTTGCTGTGGTTTTTGAAACCATATCAAACTGCCTGTGTCATGCTCTTCATTCAACAGATGGAAAATATTGCCTTGCAGCTCAGTGCCAGGAAGAGAGGCCCATTGGGAGAGTTGAATAGAAGCCCAGAGAGGCATACAGGCCATGTGCATTCCAGCAAGGGGTTAACAATCAAGGAAAGTAGGAGTTCACTGAGGCAAGACAGAGAGAAATGGCCAAGCTGCTTTTGTGATTGATGATCAGTGGAATGCAAAGAAAGACGAGCAAGTAAGCACAGAAAGACATTTCAGTATGAAACACAGGCATTAATAAATAGTAACTATCACAACGAACTCTGACGATGATTTATTGTGTGGCTCTGAGGCAAATCCATTCATCTGGGGTAGCTAATAACATGCAAAACATGTAAAACCCCCACAAAATATCACAGTACATTACATCCACAACATTTCTTTTGGAATTTTGCTGCTTCTTTCAATATTTTAAGTCTTCATTCAATATCTAAACTCATGTATCTAGGCACAATTTCATGATGCCTGTTTGGAATTGCAGTCAATGATGATTTTCACCAAGTAGAATCATCTGCCCACTTCTCACTAACCTCCACGTTTACTGGGCTTTACCTCTTTCTTAAGCCACACTTTAATGTAGCTATTTTTGTATTTTCTCATTTTACTTTCCTTCCTGAGTAGCTCATGGCATCTTAATCCTGCCAAAATTACCATGAGAAAAACAGGCCTAATGAAGCAGTTAGTTTGATGTCTTACAAATCTGGGTGCTGTTGCTCAAAAAAACATGCTCCACTCCACTAAGAAGACATTACACAGGGAGAAGAAATTTTAATTTATTCCCATTTTCAAGTTTGTGTTTTTATCTATGCATGGCCTTCACATGAAGTCATGTATATATCATTTTTAGAGCAAAGTCCAGGACATATAGCATCAAATTCAGGTAGCTGCTAAAAATTGCTGAACACCCTAATAACTTCCAAAAAGACTTACATGCTTTCTTTTGGTGGAATGGTTTTGTCCACGTTGAATGCCTTTTGTAACGAGGTAGATGGTAGATGGATAAATAGAAGGAGGCTGAATAACTAGATAGATTAGATTGATATATATATATATATAAAACATGAATATATTGCATATTTTTCTCGTATTAGTTATTTAGTAAGTGCTTATCATGCATCAGATAGTTTACATTTACGTTTACCTCTCTTGATTCCTATTTAACTCTTCAAAATTGGCTTATTTCTTGGCTGCATGTTTTTTAGATATGGAAAAGGAAGTACAGTTTTAAAGTTACAAAATCACTATATGGCAGAGCTTGTTGACCCACTAAAGCAGATGGGAAAGCCCATACACTTAATTGCTCTTCCAGGCAGCTTTCATATGGTGAAGGGATTGTAAGTATGAATCTAAATCCAATTACATTAAAAGCTCCTGAAACGGGATAGAAAGGATCTGTTTTTCCCCCTTCTGACCTATAGATTGCATGTTATTGCACCCCTCACTGTTCAGAGCCTTGATGGCCTTATTAACAAGCTCTGGTGCTGGGACTGAAATAGAAGACTGTGGTACCTTTTAGTTAGAGAAGTTCAGCCAAGCTCCTTGGGCAAGTCACTTAACTCTGGGTTTACATACCTTATGCAATAACTACCTAGTTTAACCCTTCCTTTTTCAACATTAATGTTCCTTTATTTATGGTTTGTTATTTGCTCATTTGTAACAATTCACCTCATCAGGTTAGTGTAAATAATTCAGCCGTTTATAATAAGATATTTCAATCAAACTATGCAAAGTTAATGTAGAGACACAGAATATTCGCACGACTGATCCAATGTTGTAATCAGTAATTATTATATTTTAACTTTGAAGACAATTTAAAATAAATTCATAAGCTATAATTCTAAAAAGGGATTTGGATTTGTTTTTGTTCACTAATCTCTTAGTATATCAAGTGCACTTAGGCAGAATATTGACACCTTTTTCAAAAAAGCAACCACTGATAATAAAGTAAATGAACTTTGCTGTAGTTATGGTCTTTTAGTGGCAAGAAAGAATCTTCATTAAATTACTCCAAGTAATGTACAATTTCACATCAGGATCTGTGTGAATAGGAGGAAAACAGTAAGTGCCAAAATGGCATCAGGTCTCATAGGAACCCAAAACTACAGAACCAGGACACATGGAAAACATGAAGAAAATGGATTACATAGGATTTAAAGTGTCTTTACCTACTTAGAGAACTTTTCTTGCTGTCAAGAGCAGAGATTTTCTGATGTGGACTGTTCTATCAATGGCATCTTCTCTCTACATTAATTCTGTTTCTGCTTCCAAACCTCAATGTCTCGCTACAGCTCCAGTGTAAATTTCTTTCCTCTTTTGGCATGTTTATATAACTCCAGGTTAATTTCATATTTTGTAAGTAGACTGTGTCTTCAGCTTTATCTTATAGATTAAAGAAATATAAGTATTATAAACATATCTTTCTGAAAAAAAATGAACTATGCTTTTCTGACAACCAACAGGAGAGAATTACCGTTTGAAAATGCATCCCATAGACAACAATTCACCTGGAGATAGGCAACTCCGGGCTGTGCTAACTCTAAGTTTTGACCACATCTTGGCCCTTGCTTGGTGTGACCGTAATTCTGTTTTCCTCAGCTCTGTGAAGCATGCATTCTTTTGCAACAACCCATAAAAGCAGAAAAATAAGAAAAGATAACTAAAGATTCAGATCTTTAAACCCTATTTGGCAGTATTTCAGAAAATTACATAAGATAAACAATAATCAATATACTTACTACTTAGGAAGATTTCATTTTCTTAGCCTAATTTTGAAAAGTATAATTCAATATCTGTAGAGCTGATTTATGTAAGGATATCAATTGAAAAATCTCTTTCAGCCATTCACAGGGAACTTCCTTATTAGAAGCTGCTACAACTCAAGTTATGTGCTGAATAAAACAATGCCTTATTTTGTCTTAGGAATATTTAACCTGGATACCATTACACTATTTTTGAGTCAGTTTTAACATCAACTTTCAGTTTTTTAAAAAAGATCTCCATTTGCTTAAATGACTGGAAGCAGGAAGATGAGTGAATCCAGATAAATTTCTTGGTGTGAATATTGCCAAATATTGCATTTATTTTTATATGTCATTTATTACTATTATTTACTTTATCCCATCTACATATTTCTGTGGCTGAGAAAAGAGATCTAGTTATGTAATACCAAACTCTCTTCCCCTTTAGAGAATACAACTGTAAGACTGAAATGGGATAATAATTTAGTTCATCAAAATTTGTTGCCTAGACCCTATATGTCCTATATGTATGGTATGGAATTTGATTATTTTTCTGAAGAAAATGAATCAGGGCTTATAGACTAATGAATAAAAAGACTGAGGAAGAAATAAACTATAATATAAACAATGGAAGTATATTAGAGTTAAACATAAATACACAGTATCAATAAATAGTATGGGTGAAGAAGGATCATTTGTTTTCAGGATAGACTTTCCCATGAGATTATGGGAATTTCCTCACAAGTAATTATCCCCTGACTTTCTCTCAATAGTATTGAATGTGTGAGGACATACATTCAAACTTACACATGGAGAGAAACACACAAACACAGACATAGACCTCTGCACATCATTACCACTTTCCTCCTCCTCTCTCATAATTTTTAATTGAGAAAAAAACTTTTTCCAATATACTAGATAAGTCTGAAATTTAAATCATTTGGGAGAAGATTTTAATAAATTCATTGTCATGGCAGCAGTAAAGATGAAATAAAAAAATTTATTAAAAAATGCAATCTTCAAATAAAGTCAGCTGATTTGTTAACACACAGTTATAAGATTGCACCTACAGTTTCGACGGGATGGATAAGGTTCTGAATGTGAATTTTACAGTAGAAGAAAGTGAGTCTGAGGCAACTGAGGCATACAGAGTCTTATTTGATAACATTTTTGGAGAGTAACATTTTTATCATATTTGTGGTCATATTTATCATGTTCGATAACATTTCAGAAGAGAAAAAATGTACACTGCGTCTGCACTTTGTGTTTTGTTTTGTTTTTACCACTTCTCATACACATACCAATGTCCTACATAATGCTTTCTCTATATTGTCTCTATTCTCAATATTTTTATTTTATTCTCAATATGAAAATTCACTTGTATTATCTCTATATTTTACATAAATATACGTATTATGCTAAAAATAAAAATAAATTTGAAAATCTAATAATGGATGTCATGTCTAGGTTTCCAAGGGATTATTAAAAAGCAAAGTTAAGCACAATGTGCTTTTAGCACATATTTTTATATTTACCATATTTCTTGACTTGCCTGTTAGTCATCCTTTCCTGCTTCTTTTTTTAAGACTGAAAGCACTGGGGTGTGTGTGTGTGTGTGTGTGTGTGTGTGTGTGTGTTTGTGTAAGTAAAAAGTCTAGAAGAATTTAACAAATCAATATCTTAAACATGAAGAATTATTGAAATGATGATTGAAATAACTAGAAGTTTTCATCTACAATGAGGTGTGGTGAGAATTACTATAAATTGAAAAATTATGGTCACCAAGGCTATTATGTGCTTTCCTCTATCTTATGACCTAGGAAAAAAATCAACAGAGAAATGGCCTCAAAGTAAACTACATAACCAGAGGAGAAAATGAGGGAAAAATCAATAGCAAACTAAACCAATATTAATACCACCTGTAGCATTTTGATGTGTTGCTAAGGGTTTTGTGTCTCATTCACATCCTATATCCCTACATGTCCACCATCTTTCTGTCTACCTCTTGGTATAAAACAACATAAATAAGTTACTTTGGTATACAAAGTCTACTACTGACAATAGATTCAATGCGTCTCACCTCTCCAGGTGCATATAAGAGGTAAATTACTTTGGCATCATTTCTCTAAGCCCTTTCCATGTTATATGTTAAAACCAGAGTAACTTGGGATTACTGTTAAAAGATATAAAATCTATGTGACAAAGGCATTGCCCTCTGAGAAAAAAGCAGATAATAACAAATATAAAATAAAAACATTGGAGACAGAGGTAGCTTTTACCACTTACAATAAAAAAAGAAGTTACACACAGTAAAATCCTGAAACAGCAGTTAATATGTAAGTGTATAGGCAGACAAACATGATTTAATTCATAAAATAAATGCCTGGAGATTCTAGTGACATTCTTTCTGGTAGAAATGTGATCATCATTATCTCTAATGTCAAAGAACAATGACAATGATATTGATAGTGAATTTAACAAGTTTCAAGTAAATTAATTAATACTCTTTAAAAAAATGGTTTTGGGATCTTCTAAGAGCAACTATTAAAGAAAACAATGTTGATGTTGATACGTAGCTTGGGAAGAAAGACAAATTCTGAATCTACATTTTTATAAAGTATCCAGATGAAAGTGAAAACTAAATAAAGTATTATCATTACATTGACAAGTCATAAAATACATAAAATATTATCATATTTGAACAGATCTAGATTATTAAGTGAATTAGTTCACTCTTTAGGCTACTATCATGGCACAATGCTTAAATCAGTGGTTTCCAAAGTACAGTCTCTAGCCTAGATTCATCAGTATCTTGCAGGCACTTGTTAGAAATACTAGTTCTTAGACCCACCCAGACCTAATGAATCAGAAACTGTAGGGTGGAGCCCGGCAATCTATGGTTTAACAAGCCCTCCAGGTGATTCTGAGTCACCATAATTTGCACCATTTACTTAGATAAAACTACAAAGGAAGGTAAATTATTATTTTCAAATTGTAAAAGAGTACTACAAAATATAGAAGCACATTACAACAGAAACTAATTTTGTGTACATATTTTTCCAAGAGTTCAAATAAGGATAAAGAATAACTGTGTTAAATAATAATACTGCCCTAATTTCAGAGGATTTTACAATATGCATACAGCACTTTTCCATACATTACTTATTTCATTGTCCTGGTAACACCCCCAGATTACTTGCCAAACATATCTTTATAAACATATTAACTTCCTAGAGGTATTCAACTATGCAAAATGCTGAATATCAGCAAAATAATTTACATGG
Source organism: Homo sapiens (assembly GCF_000001405.40). Lineage (NCBI taxonomy): Eukaryota > Metazoa > Chordata > Mammalia > Primates > Hominidae > Homo > Homo sapiens. The sequence goes on along the minus strand of NC_000013.11, from coordinate 80,778,055 downwards.
ATTAGTGATAAAATGACCCTGCATGCAAGAAAAAAAAGTGACAAAATATGAAAAAATGCTTTAACAGGTATTGCTATATTTCAAGAAAAGAAAGGTCTGGACATAACTGTTGCTTTTTTTCTCTTTTTCTAATCTTCAATATTTCTAGTCATTGTTGCTTTTCTTCACTTTTTTTTTCTTTTTTCTACATCTGCAATTACACTCAGAGATATCAGCCAGGGCATAATTTTTCAACAATGGGAAAAATTATTATAACCATATTACTAATCTTATATGACCTACATCCTTCATAAGGAGAATTCTGAATGAAGCTTTAACGCTTATGAATACTTTTAGCTCCATGGCCTATTTGTTATCCCTAGGAGGTGGGTATTTAATCTGTCAAACATTTGTATAACACCAAAAGCAGTATGACCTTTGACCTGGGTCACTAAAATTGCACCCCATTCCAGTGACTTTTTGATTTCACCCAGCAGGTCTCATACATTTGCACTGTGCCTTATGGAGCGTTCAAGCAGAGTATGATCTTTGACTTCTGACCACCTGTGTCCCATACTTTTTGTGCGAAAGAAATAAATGACAGACTTGGAGATTAAGTCCAGCACTCCTTTTTTGTTCAGGTGTATTGCCAGCCGAGTTGAATGACCCATGGGTGCCTTAATTTATAATATTTTTTTTACTGTTATAACTTGTAGCAATGCATGTGTTACTGACAAATTATCCTAACATTCTGTGTCACAAATGGTTCTATTCTTTGGTAAGTAGCTATGTCAATCCAATAAAAAAGTCTAAGATAGTGCATGCACACATGCATATACATCCTTAATTACGGCATGTGTTTTCCATATTAATGTAATCGTCATTGTTTTTAAATCCAGGATCTGTGACATTTTGGAATGTTTCCATGCGTGTACAAGTGGGTTGTTTTACCTATTACTATTCCAGACCTATCCTGAGAATCACATTTGGAGATTCTAATGTGAGCAACTCTCATTTTAGCAGTTCTGAAAATTTCTATGAGAACCAACAAAAAAAGAACCCCACTAACACAGCACAAAATCTAAAGTTTCTCTTCATTTGTCAATCACTTTCATTCATTCATTGGAGATAATTATTGAACATCTACTGTGTATCAAGAGCTACATGAAGCACTGTGGAAAATATGAGTTTCTTTTTTTCCAAGAATTTGATAAAGGAGTTAAGACAGATGCACAAATAACTATAGCATAGGATCAGATTGCATAAGTTTCAAACAAGAGATGCAGCAATAGTTGGCTTGGCTAAGAGAGATGAGGAAAGGCTTCATGGAGGAGGTGGCATTGATCCTAGGACTTGATTGATATAAAATATCAAGAAATATGTATAAAGGAAGAGAAAATAATTTCAGTGGGAATGAACAGCACAGATTGTTAAAGGGGGGTACAACTAGTCTTGTTTAGGAAAATAGTCCATATTGAATAGATAAAAGACAAGAGAAGAAAAGTAGTGAGACAACTCGAGAAATACAGAGGGAGCTGGATTAAGGAGGATATTAAATGTCATGCTAAGAATTTTTAACTTTATAACAATAAGGAGTTAAGAGTCATCAGATTTTTAAATCAAGGAAATAAATTTTTATCAGAGATTTTAAAATAAGATTGTATCAGTAGAAGATATCACCATTATTGGAGTCACATGAAGCTGATTCCTATTTCCAAATCGTAAACTCATTAATGATATGAAGGAGCATGTTTCTCATTCTTCTTGTGCCTCAATTTCCTCACCTGAAAAATTCAGGTTGCTTTTGTATCAGAGTTGCTTTGAGAATTTATTTAGGTAATATTAATACACGTAATGCATCTGGGCTATAATGGCTGAACAAAAATCTTGCATTTCTCTGTTTTTCTCCAAGTGTTTAAATGAATGGAGAATGGGAGACTGGAAGTAGGAAAATAAAAATGTAAATGTATATGAGTTCATGTCCTTTGCAGGGACATGGATGAAGCTGGAAACCATCATTCTCAGCAAACTATCGCAAGGACAAAAAACCAAACATCGCATGTTCTCACTCATAGGTGGGAATTGAACAGTGAGAACACTTGGACACAGGAAGGGGAACATCACACACTAGGGCCTGTTGTGGGGTGGGGGAGGGGGGAAGGATAGCATTAGGAAATATACCTAATGTAAATGATGAATTAATGGGTGCAGCACACCAACATGGCACATGTATACATATGTAACAAATCTGCACGTTGTGCACACGTACCCTAGAACTTAAAGTATAATTTAAAAAAATGTAAATGTAAACCAGGGTGGCTTACATTACAGCGTATTAAGATTTTATTTTAATAGCAGTTTCTACAAAATACAATAGGTCTTCAACATAGATGTGTGCACATCTTTATGACATAGAGATACAGTAGAATAATACTTAGCTGATCTAATTTACCCTACTTAATTTCAGTATCACGGATGAAAAAATTTCAAGTTATAAGTTAAACTTTATATTTCAGTTCACTCCTTAACCATATAGATAACATACTCCAATATTTGGTTGCACAAGTCAAATAAGTCTTTTCAGTATGTACTCAGCTTTAAGCCTCTTAATTTACATAAGACAGAAACCTCTTCTACTTTAGCAGAATTCTAAACAGTATTTTAATCTTCTAAAAACCTATTCCTCCTCATATACACATACAATATGTAAAATCATAGTTTATGTAACTTTTACTTGTATATATGAAATAATATAACCAGTTAAATAAATTGTTAACAGAATATTACAACACAATTCTCAACTAAAATATGAATAGTTTGAAACAAGTACATAACTTTTTTTTAATTTCACAATTCAAGGAATGCATATAAAACTCAAAATGGGTCACTGTGGAAGACTAAGTGTCTCCTGTCAGAGTATCAGATTCAGCATTCCACTTGTAGCATCTCCCAAAAAAAAAAATCCTCTTTAGTTAATAGCACTTGTTTTTCAAAGATTAAGTCATTAATAAACAATGTGACTTTAGATTCTACCTATTTGCCTGTGTGTGCATAGGCTACAAACTCTCAGTCAGAAGATGTCATCTGGAAGTTGTCACAGTAGAGACTAGCAGTGTTGGGAAAAAAAAACAAATGTAAATAAATACAATAATGAAATCCAAAACACTTATGTATATTTAGCTATGTTCTGGACATTGCCAAATCTGACTCCCAAATTTTGTCTTCTCAAATTTTCTCCAACCCCTAACCCTCTCCACAATGCCTGTATCTTCTCTTATGAATGTCCCAGATTGTAACATGAAGCTGCTGAGGACCAGACACTAGCAGACTGACTGACAAAAGACAATGGAACAAGAGGTGATGAGGGCACCAAAGAGCTGAGGAACTCTACAAATATTTGATGCTCTTCCAATCTGGAGAAAGATGACCTTGCCTGGACCCTCAAAGTAATGGCTCTCACATTCTATAAACAGATTATTTACATGTACCTATAAAATAGCATAACCAGTCAAATCAATTGTTAATGGAATGTTACAATACATCTCCACCTTCCTCTCCATCCTTCATACATTTTTTGCTTCTCTATTGTAATATTTGATGGATGGAAATTGCTACAAGTGCCACTAGACTTCAATTAGCAGAACCTAGGCTAAGTTGGGACAAAACTTTATTTACAATCATGATATAGTCCTGATCTCTTAACTTACACATTGGTAATGATTTTCAATGACACATATACACAGCTCAATATCCATGCATTTCCTCATGCTGCAGATCCTCAAGAGTACCTGCTGAGTCTCTGCTTACCTTAAAAAAGGACTTATTTATTTACAGACATAGAGTCTTTAGTTTGGGGATTATTCCTATAAATGTGGCAATTCTTGTGCTCACATTCAGTGAAGGCTGGAATGAATTTGTTGCCTAAGAACATAGCATATTGTGCTCATTTTTTAAACTATCAACCTACCCTTACAAATTTGCAACCACAGTTCTTTTACTCTACGAAAACAAGTCATGCATTAACCTTCACCAGGGAAAATTTATACAGGAGAAATTCTGCATCTAAATATAGTTATGTAAATATACCACCATATCTTACTGAAAATAGATGGAAAAAGGAAGACAGTGAATGGGTGGGTGGGGAGGGGGCAGGATATATTCGGGCTTTATTTTATTTCATTTTACATTTTCACCTCCTTACCTTTCCTACCTTTTCTTTCCTTCTTCCCCTTTTCTAATGATTGAGGAAGGGCAAATTGCTACAAGTGTCACTACCTTAAATTGGAGGAAACTAGACCAAGTTGGAACAAAATTTCCTTTACATCATGATACAGTCCTGATAACTTGGACACTGGAAATGATTTCCAGTGACACACATATATATATATATAGACCAGTGTCCTAAATAACACTGCAAAAATGGGAAGGTTTCTGTTTCACAGAAACAATAATTTTACTCCTTGTTTAAGGAACAAAATTTTCCAAATTTGAGAATCACTGGTTTAGTTAATTAGTAAAGAAATCTTGAGTCAGTTAAAGCTGTGTCTAGGCCCCTGCTCAGTCACTTCCCAGCTGTGTGACTGCAGGTTAAACTCCTTGAATCTCAGTTCCTTCAACTGTAAAGTAGCTAGGGTTGTTGTGAAAATTTCATTAATCAATGCAAAGTGCTTACCATGTAATTCTTAATAAATGGTACCTATTCTTATTAATACCTCCATACCATTCAACTGCAATCACTCACTGCCTTTGGTAAGAATATTGTTATGACATAGATAAAAGCTGGAAACAAATGAGTTTTTTTATAGACTCTAAGGATTAGCTTTAAAAATGATAGAAGCAAGTGAGGGTGACCTCCAATGTACTCATAAAGATTTTTAACTTGCCAAAATAAACATTTTTATTAAATTTCATTGACATTGTCTAATAGTTTTATCTAATAACATTTTTCAAAAGAGCAGAAAGCAATAGAGAGGATCAACAACAGCAGGGAAAGTAACCAAAATGTATAAGAAAAATAAGGGGGCCGGATGTGGTGGCTCACGCCTGTAATCCCAGCATTTTGGGAGGCTGAGGTGGGTGGATCGCTGGAGGTCAGGAGTTTGAGACCAGCCTGGCCCACATGGTGAAACCCCGTCTACATTGAAAATACAAAAACTAGCCAGGTGTGGTGGTGCACACCTGTAGTCCCAGCTACTCGGGAGGCTGAGGCAGGAGAATTGCTTGAGCCCAGGAGTTAAAAGTTGCAGTGAACCAAGATCACCCACTGCACTACAGCCTGGGTAACAGAGCAAGACTCCATCTCAAAAAAAAGAAAGTAAGAAAGAAAAGAAAAATAAGGAACCACAATAGGAAAGTGTGTGACTGTCTGAGAACTTCTGCTTGCTATGTCCTAAGAAAGGATAGACTGAGAATCAACTTAAAATAAGAAAAGAATGATTAAAAATTAAAACAGTTTACCGAAATCTTTAAATTCTGAAATATTAGATTGGACAGCATGAGGTGGCTATGAGTTGCTTCTATGTGATTTAAATAATGAATGAAGAATGCAATAATTATAAAAATGCTTTACTTAGAATATACAAAAATTTTTACCACATTGAGAGAGAAAAATAGGTAAACTCTGTTAAATTATCCTCTATATAAAGAATACTTTAATAGGACAGTTTTTTCTGCTTCTATTATTTTTAGCTTACAAATAGTAGAGAATTTTTAACATTTATTATTTATTATGGTGGGTATTGTGCTAATGGCTCAGAGGTTTTACCTCATCCCATCATGACCCTTCTTTGGGACATGTTAACCCAATGAGTTGAGTGCTATTATTTCCCTATTCTACATGTAAGAAAATAGGATGAAGTATCTTAATAAATTAAGTATCTTAATCAAAGTCATTAGTTCATTTAGTGGAGGCATCTGAATATGAACCTGGGCCATCAGGCTCCAGAACCCAAACTATATTCCTTAAATACAGAAAGGGACAGAAAAAATTGAAGCAACTACTAAATACCATTTAAAAACACAAAGGATATGGTAAATTTGGTGTGATAATCTTGTATTTTTATTATCTCATTTATTTCACTTACAAACAAAAATGAAATTTTATTATTTAAAATGAATATTGACATGAATAAATTGACACCACAGTTGTTAATGGTAAAAAAAATACATATATCACTAAAACATTAGTACAAAATTGTTAGGAGAATCAACCCTAAACTTTCAATGCAAATCTTTCCTACTTTTAAATACATAATCTTTTCCCACTTTTAAATATACATAAAAATAACAATATTTAGTCCACATAAAGGCAAGTAATGTAACTCATTACTAAACATCAGAAATAATTCAATTTCTTTTTTTTTTTTTTTTTTTTTTTTGAGACGGAGTCTGGCTCTTTCGCCCAGGCCAGAGTGCAGTAGCGCTATCTCGGCTCACTGCAAGCTCCGCCTGCTGGGTTCACGCCATTCTCCTGCCTCAGCCTCTTGGAGTAGCTGGGACTAGCTGGGACTACAGACGCCCGCCACCGCTGCCAGCTAATTTTTTGTGTTTTTAGTAGAGACGGGGTTTCACCGTGTTAGCCAGGATGGTCTCGATCTCCTGACCTCGTGATCCGCCCGCCTCGGCCTCCCAAAGTGCTGGGATTACAGGCGTGAGCCACCGCGTCCGGCCAATTCCATTTCTTAATAGAGAAAAAAGATAATTGTTTGTACAATAAAAAGTAATTTCCATTTACTCTATTATCCATTCATTTAAAATTATGTTTTCTTTTTTATATTTTTCAACCTACACTAAGCTCATCTCAAAATTGTTATTGTCATGGACTATTTTATGAGAAGCCAGGAAGTCTATATAAATAGGAAGGAAAGATGAATTTGATTCACCTTTCTGATTGATTCTGATTTTTTATTTTAATATTAGCCAATGAAATACCTCAATCCTAGAAAAATAACAACGTTTTCTATTTAAGGGAAAAGTCAGAGAAATTGAGGTTGGAAGGGCCCATGCAAGAAAATAGAGATAATTGCAATTTAGCATTACAAATTAATTTCCTTGGATTCTGATATAATACATCACTCTTGAGGCCTTAGTTTATGGTATAGTATGGTACTTCAAAAAAAAAGAAACATATGTTACCTATGTCAGAATCTATACAGCTGATAGTCATACCCTTCACTATTATAATTTCATTAAGCTGACAAGTGTCAACTTATGAGGTCTTCTAGGGAATAATTCTAATATATATTTTCCACATAGGATACCTTGTCATCAATAAGTGCTATGCTTCTAATAATTAATTATATCCAGCCTTATTTTGACATATTTTATAATTGCTCCGTGTATGTCTATATTTTATATTGATACCATTTATTATATATTTGGCTAAAATATTAATGCCATAATCACAAAATAGAATTTATTAATTGCACATTTTGTGCTCGCTGAAACAAAAACCAAAAATGTTTGCAAAATATCTTAAAAATATGTATTTCTGCATTAAGAGAAACATTTTAGCAATAATTTTTTACCATCTTATTTGCAATAATAGGACATACCAAATAAATTTCTATGCATTTTTTTCAATTATAAAGACGTACTTAATGCTTCTGTTGCATAAAGCACAGTTCTAGATAATGTAGAGAGTACTTTAGAAAATGACACAGTCTGGTGTGGGAGATGGGGCATGATAAAAAGTAATCATTGCCATACCAGAGGTAGGATAAATCACTAGGAAGAAAGAAATTAAATCCAGGTGGGCTCAGGAAAGGCTTCTGGGTGGAGATGGTGTTTAAACCAATCTTTGAAGGATGGAAGTTCTCTTTTGAGTCACATTCTTAGACACATTTATATTACATATCGATAAAACATTCTTCTAATCTGTATTAGGTAATATGTTTGAGTTATTCTTTCAGCATTTCTCACTCTGCATAGTTTAGTCACTCAACATAGTTTCATTTTATGAAGTAAACTATACATTGGAATTTATTTTTTATAAAATACAGCTATATAATGTTTGTGTTTTAAGCTTAATTACAAGAGTCAAAAAGATTTCAAAAATTAAAAACTTTACGCAATTGAAAAGTTACTGTAAGCTAAAGACAATTTATTATTGAAGAAAGAAAAATATTTTTGTATAAATTTAGTGTAGCCTAAGTATACAGTGTTTTGAAAGTCTACAGTAGTGCACAGTAATGTCCTAGGCCTTCACCACTCACCAGTCACTCATGGACTCACCCAGAAAAACTGCCTGTCCTGCAAGCTCCTTTTGTAGTTCAGTGTACATACAAAGGTGTACCAGTTTTTAATCTATTATACTGTATTTTTACTGTATCTTGTCTATGTTTAGTACCCAAATACTTGCCACTGTGTTACAGTCACTTACAGGATTCAGCACAGTAACAGGCACTACAGGTTTCCAGTCTAGGAGTAACAGGCTATATATACTTTATAGCCTAGATGTGTGGTAGGCCATACCAACCAGGTTTGTGTAAATATATTCTGTGATGTTCACATAACAGAATCGCCTGATGGTGCATTTCTCAGAACTTATTCCCTTGGTTAAGCAACACTGTATATGCTTTTAAATGAGTAGTGAAGATCATAGCACTGTGCCTACTACCACAAAAGAGGCCCTCAACTATTAACTATGAAATTAATTTAAAAATTACATAATTGCATATTTGATTAGCTTCTTCTTGGAGCCATTTTATTCATACAGCTTGTCATCATGTGCAGCATACATAAAAACAGTAAAGGACTTGGGCAAAGGCTCTGCTTTGTCTTGAACAGCTATCCATCTGTAGTAAATATCTGCATCTCTTTGCCACTGAACTTCCATATAATTTGTTTAACGTCTGAGTGTGACCTTTTATCTGCATCTGCTTTAAACTGTGCTTGCCATTGAAGGCCTGGAAGATCCTACAAACTTAATAAATGCTTGCCTCACTTTCCATATTAAAAAATCATACAGATATCTATAGTAAAGGACTATGATGAAGATAAAATGGGATAATATATGTAAAAACTTTTTAAAATTCTACACTGTGTGTTTTGTGTGTTACATACACAGTTTCACATGTGTGGCTAGAGTTTTCCCTTCCCTTCTTCCTCCAAACTTTTTTAAAATAGTAGCATCACTGTTTTTCTTTTTAATAGGAAACATTTGACTAAGAAGCAACATATAGTTTTAGAAGTAAAATACTGTTGAACCAACTATCATTCCCAAGATCCCCCACAATAAACATGTTAGCAGCAGTGATAAGCATTGCTTTAGCAACCTTGGACTTTTAAAATGTAGCCAGTTTAGCTTACTTTTTGATATTTGGTTTTTAAAGAGTCTTGTTCAATAGGAAACTAGCTGCTAGATAGAGTCCCTCCTTAGAAGGCAGGTAAGATTCATCATGGACACAATTGCTTAATGCTAGACTTACTGAAAAACAAAAATGATGTTCCCCCCCCAGTTTAAGACTTCAAGAACCAGCTGTGTAAGAACTGCCAGGTCAGTGTTGAAAGGTGATTCTGCATGCAAGTATTCCAATTCATGTTAGACCTTAAAAACACAAAACCATCTTAAGCATTTGATGGAATCCATCAAATGACCATTACCACAACCACACATACAAAGGATGGACAAATTAAGGCAGCAACATAAAAAGAGACACATGATGTGACTCAAAAAGAAGGAAAATATGCCAGGCACAGTGGTTCACACCTGTAACCACAGCACTGTGGGAGATGGAGGCAGGCAGATCACCTGAGGTCAGGAGTTCAAGACCAGCCTGGTCAACATGGTGAAACCCTGTCTCTACTAAAAATAAAACAATTAGCCAGGCATGGTGGCACATGCCTATAATCCCAGCTACTCGGGAGGCTGAGGCAGGAGAATCACTTGAACCCAGGAGGCAGAGATTATGGTTAGCTGAGATCGTGCCATTGCACTCCAGCCTGGGTGACAAAGGGAGACTCTGTCTCAAAAAAAAAAAAAAAGAAAAAAGGGAAAATGTGAAGACATTGTTATTACAGCAAATAAAGTAAAAGCAAGTAACAGCATCCATAATGGGAGCTGAATGGACAGAATAACCAACAACTGAGGCTGAAGAGATGAAGAAGAGTAACCCAAAAGAATGAAGCATCACAATAAGAGGAGAGAATGTGTCCAAAAGGGAGTGAGGTTGAGCTTCCTTCCTAGGAGGAGAAAGGTTGCCAGGAAGGACGTTCTTGAGAATAGAGACTGAAGACCATGCACTTTTGAGAAACTGAGGATGTATTGAAAAAGGTAGATGAGAAAACCCCAAAACACCAACCACAGTGGCTGTAGTTTAGGTCAAAACACCTGATTAGAATTTCTGTGAGTTTGCCATATGACCTCCCTATTACAAATGCAGTGGTCAGTTCTCATGCCTTCTCTTATGTGACTTCTCAGTCACGTTTGATGTTATTGTTCATTCCCTTCTTAAAACAGCTTTGACCTCTGAAACATCATTCTCTCAGGATTCTGGTCTACCTGTCACACTGGTCTCTCCTTTAAAGCTTCCTTTTCTGTCATTTTCTATCCCCTTAACCTCACTTTCATGGGAATTTAATGCACACGTTTGCTTTGGCCAGTATTTATACTAACAATAGAAGAACAGATAAGAACTTACCAGATAACTTAGATGTTTTTCTAAGTAATATCTGAATGGCATTATAGTGCCATAGTATGTTTCACAAATTCAAAAGAAATTTGAAGAGAGAAAAGCTGTATAAGAATTTACTCACTACAAATTACATGCTATTTTAGGTATGTCAGATTCAAAATATCCACACAGGAACAGTCAGCATTATATTCAGCTCTACACTGTAATTTATACAAAGCATACCATCATCATCAGTCAACAAATTAATGTTGTCTTTTGTTTTTATAAATGTTTTATTTTTCATTTTTTAGTTATGTCAGTGCTATAAGCATAATAACAATTTACTTAACTTTATGCTTATCTATATAAGGTGATGTTTGTATTTTATAACAATCTTTCTGTTGTGTTTCTCATATTTGAAAAATATTGTGTACAAAAAGCAGAAAAACTATTATTTGAATTAGTTACTTAATGATATAAGAATGTAAATTCTTATAGGGGATAATGATATAAAAATTGATTACTCCTTTACAGCATATGAACTTTGCTAAATAAGTCAATAATTTTGACCTTAATAATTTTAGTATTATAATTTTGAATCAAGTTTTCAATAGTCCACATCATGTAAAAAGTTTTTATTGATTAATATTTTCTGAGCCACAGAAATAAAAATGTCAAAAATTTATAAAGGGAAAAAATCCTTGTTTATTTTGTAATCAGTTGTTATCAAATTACTGCCAGTAGTAGCTTTGTTAAGTCTATACAACACAAAGGTAGTATCCATTTGATTGGAAATGATTGATTACCTAATACTTCAGGCATTTTAATAAATGGTTAAGATAGATTGAATTTTCTAATAGAACTTAATTGACTTCGTAAATATAATCTGAGGTTGACAGCCGGTGACAAACTCAGAAACCTTGTCAATAGAACTGTCATGGCCACACTATTATAGTGACATTAAGAAAAAGCTCTTCTCCATGGAATTCTCGTTTTCTTATTTGAAACTTAAGACTAGTTTCTTGAATTTTCTCATTGATGGCTTTCTTGCTGTCTGTACTGATCAAGTCTGTGATAGTGTTTGTTTAAATGTCTGGTTCATCCTCTGGAGTCTATATTGTTGAACACAGTAGATTTCCTTGAATCTTATCTAACATCTAATATAAAGCCTTACACACATTAGGCACTCAAGAAATATATTTTTTTAATTTTAATGCATTTTAGCTATGTTTAATATATATATATATTTACATTTATATTTTTTCCATACCTTGTGCAAAGGAGGGCAAAGGAGAAAATAAGTCATTTATATAAGATGCAAAGTTGGTTGTCAGGGGTTGCCCTGCAAATTTATTTGCACCTTCCAAGTCAGATCAACAGAAAGGATTCGACTGAGGCCAGCTTACCAGACAGTTATAATTGGCCCACACATTGTTGTGATTTTAATAATTTCTCCTGCTTATTTGTCCTTAAGAGCTTGTTTAGGAAACTGATCTGGATTAAGATGTTCCATTCTCATCTCTACTGCTATCCATCTAAAAATTCTTACCCTGATCCAGAATTTGGTGACAAATTCCATTTTAGTAATTTTATATTGCATGCTGTGCTATTTTTACTTTCCTAATTTTAAATTTGTATTTTCTAATTCTTTACCTGCCTATGTTCTTAATCTGAAAATTCTTCATAAACATTCACAGACTTCTGGTTGAGATCTTCCCTTCTTTGAAACAAATCCTTATGTTTTCATTCCTCATACACAGGCCTGTTTAAGTTCTTCTGTAAACTCTGTTATGTCTTCACTGCCAACATTGTGGGATTAGGGATCAAAGAGGAAGCAAAGCCAACTCTTCTGAACTCTGATTTCCATTGATCTGAGCATTTTTTTAAATGGCAAATTAACCAATCCCAGTAACTAGTAAGGCTCAAGCATTTTATAACTACTGTAAGTATCCCAACAAAATAAAGACATAAGGGCAACAGGTAAAATGAAAGCTCTTCTAAGATATGGAAATAACTTTCCTGTGTCTGTAACTTACTTTTACTTTGAATGTTTCAATCGTACAGGTTTTATCTTAACTCCAAGAATATGTTAGTTTAAAATGCATCATGAAGAAAGTTACAATAATAAAATTATAGAGAATAGACCTCTTAAGTTGACTGACAAACTCTTCGTCATGTTTTCAATATTTTACTGCAATTAAAATTTAACTTTTCCTAGTTATGAAAGTAGTACCACAAAATGAATGAATGCTAGATTGTCTGTTCCACAATGATGTTTCTTATTATGAACCAATTACTTCACTTACTTTCATAGTTGATAAAAATCTTGCTCAACACAAGTTTTCTAGACAACTCTCTCACTGTGTCATTAATAGTCATAGCTCCTGGTTTTCTTTCTTTGATTCAGATTAAGCACAAAAGAAAGGCTACAAACTCAGAAACCACTTTATAGCAAGTAGCATGACTTCGGTTCTACAACTTTTTCCATGAGACAGAAAGCAATTGGTGTATGTCTCCACAGCTTTATTGAAAGTTTTTATAAGTCTAGACAAAAACCTATACAGAAACTGCTTACAACCCTGTAACTACAGAACAAAATGTGTGCAGCCTGACTCTCCATGGAGAGTCAATAATTCCAGTTAGACTCCTGATTTCTAGTAGACCATTTATTTGTTTATAACTCAGTTACAATTATAAATATTTTCATGTCCTTATTTAAACCTCACTAAACTGAAGATTTCATGAACTAATAAAAAACCCTTGATGTATTATTCCAGTCTTCACTTGAAATCCACTTATAACACACTATTATAAATTAACGTTTGGTGTTTCTTTTTTTTTTCTTACCTAAATGTAATAGGATAACAATTGCATAGAAATACATAATATTTTAAGTGCTTCTTATACGGTCATAATATTTATTTTTGAAAAAACAGTCTACAGAAAGACAAGGGCAGAGTATTGGATAATAACCAAATGTCTTTATAAATAATCAGTGCAAGCATTATAATTAATTGACTATTCATGCATTGAAATTGCCTCTTAAAAAGGAGTACTAAATCAAATCTATTTGGCTTTTAGTAAAGTTTGATTTAATCCTGTGTACCATATCTGTCATTAAACCAATATTGCTGGGTCTAGTAATGTTTAAATGCCTTATCAGAAGAATGAAAAGTTATGTTTATTAAGTAGCAGAAATCAGCCAGAGCTAGTTTAGGTAGAAAGTAATAATTCCATATAAGGATACAAAAATTCTCTTGGAGTAAGTCAACACCTCTTAAGTTTCTAGAAAGAGAAAATTGTAAAGTCAAACTACTCACGACCCGTGCACATCTACTACATGATAGTAGCTTCAATTATTTTCTTTCTAAGATAACTTCTTTGCTTCTCTCACCAAGAGTGCAGATGGATCATGATCTTCCATGTTATAGGTCTTCCTTTGGTCTTAACTCTAAATATGAGACAGAGAGACTTATTTGACCCTCAGGTACTCACTCCTGGCCCAATTAATTATAAAGAGGGGCCAGAATCATATTTTGCCAAAACACGACTTGGCAGTGTAGTGTGGGCTAGAGTATACCTATGGATTGGAGATAGTTTTTGGAAAAAGGAGAGTCCTGGTGAACTTGGTAGGCATTCAATACAAATTTGAGTCCTTCTCATTATCGTTACCAGATTTTATTAGCAAATTAATGCAAAGATTTTCATAGCTGTTTTGAAAGTAGCTCTTGTACAGAGAGTTTTTCTACAGATGGAGGAATATAAAAATGAAGTAGATATGATTCCTATTCTCAAAGTGCTTTATAATTGGATAGTTGCAGTACTTGAGGATTTCCCCAATTACCTCGCTGTCTATTATGAGAATATCATGTATTTCTGCTACAAAATGAAGATTTACTAACTTATAAAACATATACATATATATATTTATGAATATGTATGTATATATATGCTTTGCATAGATAGATATTGCATAGATAGGTAAATATTGCACATATGGGTAATGTGTATATCTGCCAATAATGTCCTCGATAAATAGCAATAAGGGTAAAATATTTTAAAAATCAAAGAATTACTAACAGTGAGTGGTGTGAGTCCTGTTTTCTAGATTTAAAAGGTCTGTAAAGATACAGAAGAATTGATCCAATACTCTTCTAATAAGCCACAAATATCAGCTTTGAGTAGTCCACTAACTATTTTGTTTCTATTGTTTTGTAAAATTGTTAGAAGATGAGATAATTTACAAAAGTGTTGAAGGTGTGGGGAAAGTCACCCCTAGAGGGGCAGTGGTCCCCTCTTTTTACCCTTGCCCTCACATTTTAAAGCTTCAGTCAGATCATGCCACTCCTCAGCCCAAAAACTGCCAAGGCTCCACATCTCCAAATGAAAGACAAAAATCCTCCCAGTGGTCTTCAGACCCTGCAAAATCTGCTGTTCCCTCTTCACTCTCTGATCTGTGCTAAAACTCTCCCTCATCCATTCCGCTGCTAACAGACAACTCTTCTCATGACCCTTCACATATCCTAGGAGCTTCTGCACTTGCTGTTTCATCCACCTGGAGTTCTCTTTCTCAATTTTTGTATGGCATTTTCCCTCATTTTCTTTGATACTAAAATAGAAATGCTCTTTCGACACTCCAGGCTTTTTAAGTCTCACCTGCTTTATTTGTCTCTATATCTGGCATAGTATATTCCCTTAGACTGAAGCATGAGGGATATAGATGAATGTAGTCGTTTTGTCATAGAGGGAGTTCTGAACCATTATATGAAAACATAGATCCTAGAAAAGTTGTGAAATCATGTTGGGAGATAATTAAAAAGTCATAGATTCTCACCGGTCTGAAATAGTTTATAAGCAATCTACCCTAAAGTTGATAAAAAGTTGAGATTATGTGGCCATGAAGTAGATGGTTGGCAAAGTTTTGTAGTGGCCCAAGTATTATTTAATAGGCAATGAAGTGTATGGTATTAGAGTCAGAAGAAAAGAGTTCAAATATTAGTAATGTCATATCTTTGTTACAATGTTGGGCAAGACCATAAAATAGTTCATAAAATATTAATAATAGAAACTTTAAAAATGAAAGACTAAAGAATGAATGTTTAAAGTCACTTATACTTATTTATTAAAAAGAAAAAGAAGGGCCAGGGGTGGTGGCTCATGTTTGTAATCCCAAAAAGAAGGGCCAGGGGTGGTGGTTTATGTTTGTAATCCCAGCACTTTGGGAGGCCAAGGCAGGTGGATCACCTGTGGTCAGGAGTTCGAGACCAGCCTGGCCAAGATAGCAAAACCCTGTCGCTACTAAAAAATACAAAAAATTAGCCAGATGTGGTGGCACAGGCCTGTAATCCCAGCTACTTGGGAGGCTGAGGCAGGAAAATCACTTGAACCCGGGAGGCAGAGGTTGCAGTGAGTCGAGATCATGCCACTGCACTCCAGCCTGGCTGACAGAGTGAGACTCCATCTTGGAAATAAAAAAAGAAAAAGAACTTATAATATCTGGTTCATTTAGTTGTAGTGAGAATGAGAGAAAATATGAAAATGTTCTATATAAAAAAGACAATCTGTTACTATTGTTTTTGATGATTAGAAAAGTAGTGAGATAAACACATCGAAAAAATGTGAAGAAAATTTGAAGAAAGATTATAAAAACTGGTATGAGAAAATATACTGATTGATACAATCATGTGCACAACTCTAATCACCATTTGATTGTGAAAGTATAATAAATGAGAAATAATAAAATAATAATAATATGGAGGATTACTATGTGCCAGATACTGAACTAAAAATTTTATAGCATTATCTCTCTGAATAATTATAGCAATCCTATGAGGCAAGGACCTTATTATTCCAATTTTACAGAGGAGAAAACTAAAATAGTAACCAGCTGAAGTGCACGTATGTGGCAAATGCCTCAACAGTGAGGAGAATTGTAAATTTATTACTCATTTGGTGTTTTACCACTCATATTCACATTATTAATCTAAACACATAATAATATATATCTTTCATATAGCCAGTTTCTAGTTCCTCTTTGAAACCGAAAATAAAAATAATAAACGAAATAAATTAATATTTTCCAGGACTCAAAAGCAGACAGATAAACTCTCTCTCTCTCTCTCACACACACACGCACACACACACACACACAGCTATCACATTAGTCAGAAAAGCATAAGGTCAAGAGTGTTCATGTGCATTCAAAATAACTATCCATAATAGGATACATCCTCAGTGGCATTTATACATTTTATTGCAGGATATGTGTCTCAAGGAATTTGCAACTAAAAGTCCTCAATAGTTCCTTACAGAGTCTAATGGTTCTTTGTCCCTCTGCTTCAACAGAGGTCACTGTGCCAATGGCCACGGAAGGCCCCCAGCAGCTGAGGGTGGGAACTCCCTCTCCTTCCTTCTTAAGGTCCTAAGAGTGACTGGTGCATCAACTTCACTGAGCTTTCTTTTACCACAGAATCTAAAGAACATGTAAGGAAGTTGTCACTGGTAGAGAGGGTCGTGACTGCAAGTTGTCCGGGGTTTTGGTATTTTGAACAAAGAATTGGACAAAACGCCCAGCAAAGCAAAGAAAGAATGAAGCAACAAAAGAACGAAAGCAGGGATTTATTGAAAATGAAAAGTACACTCCACAGTGAGGGGACTGGACGCGAGCAGCGGCTCAAGGACTTGGATACAGAATCTTCTTGGGTCCAAATACTCTGTAGAAGTTTCCCATTGGCCACTTCATGCTCACCTCATGTAAATGAAGCTGTAGCCTGCAATCAGTCTGATTGGTTGCAGAAAGCGGCCAACCAGAGGCTGAAGTGAAGTTACAAATGGCACACTCATGTGCAAACATCTGATTGGTTGCACTTTGGAACCAATCAGAGGCTAGGGTGAAGTTACAAAGTTATACTTCTATGCAAAGGAAGACTCGCCTGAAATCAGTCTGACTGGTTGTGGGCAGCAGCCATTCAGAGGCTGGAGTGAAATTACAAAGTTGCAAAAGAAGACTCCACCTGCAATCAGTCTGATTTGTTGTAGACAGCCAATTTCCCATCTGCATGGCAGAAAAGGTCAAAGGGAGTAGCCTCTGGTCCTTTTGTTATTTAGGCATGAAAAGTTAGGATTTTCCTTTCATCTTAGTTGTAGGAAGTTGGTGTGAAACAGCCTTAGGTTCCCTGCTTCCAGATCCTATTATTCTGCCTCAGAAGTGATTAACTGTCCAGGCCCCAGAAATTAAATTTCATCTCATCTCATGCTTGATTATAGGAAAAAGAACTATAATCATTGCTAAAAAGTTGTGACTTAAATAAGGCCGAAACCCAAGGTCTAGAATGTAAGAGAATTGCCACTAACTGATTTCTTTTATGATCTAAAAGACAAGCTGTGCCATGAATAACTTTTAGAAATTACATAGTTGTATTTTTAATATGTTGTGATTTTTAACTTCAACATAGATGGCAAGAAAGAGTTAAATGGTTGGAGGGGAGTGAAAAACATATTTACTAGGAAAACAGCCATCTGATTGTGAACTGCCTTGCATATTAAACAGCACAGTTTCGTTTCTTGTCTCATAACTGTGGAAAAAAATAGGAAGTTTTTGGAAAAAAATTACGGTTAACAGTAGATGGGGGTGGGGAAGTGTAATTTGTCTATGTGACATATTTCTCACTGGCACTGTGCCTAGAAATTTATTTTATTTTAATTCATGCATAATATTTTACTTATTTATAGGGAACATGTATTTGTTACAGCATAGAATGTGTAATGATCCAGTCAAGGTATTTGTGATATCCATCATCTTAAATATTTACCATTCCTGTAGGCTGGGAACATTTCAAGTTTTCTCTTCTAGCTACTTTGAAATATACAATTCATTGTTGCTAACTATAGTCATACTAATCTGCTATTGAACATTAGAACTTACATCTTCTGTCTAACTATATGTTTATATCCATTAATCAACCTCCCATTATCCCTCCCTCCAACAGACACATTCTTCCTGTCCACTGAAAGAGATCATTCTATATTCTAACATGAAATCAACTCTTAGCTCCCACATATGAGTGAGGACAGTGTTTTTGTGCCTGGCTTATTTCACCTAACACAATGACCTCCAGTTCCATCCATGTTGCTGCGAATGACATGATTTCATTCTTTTTTATATCTAAATAGTATTCCCTTGTGTGTGTACATATATGTACTATTTTCATAGCGGCCTTTCTAGTATTACATGAACAATAATGTATATATGTATTTGTACACACACAAGGGAACACTGTATGTATATATGTACACACTATTAACGTAGTACTATTTGTGTACATATATACACACACAAGGTAATGTACACACATATGTATACACATGTATGTACACACTCACACTCACACATACATATATTTTCTTTATCCATTTGTTCATTGATGAAAACTTAGGGTGATTCCATATCTTTGCTATTGTGAATAGTGCTGAATAAACAAGAAAGTGCTGGGTTTTTTTTTTTTTCCTTTGGATAAATACCCAGTAGTTGAATTTCTGGATTGTATGATAGTTCTATTTTTAGTTCTCTAAGAAACCACTGTACTGTTTTCATAGTGGCTATTCTAGAATTACATTAACAATAATGTATAAGAGTTTTATTTTCTCTGCATCCTCACCATCATCCATTATTTTTTGTCTTTTTATAAAAGCAGGTAGTCTACTTTTATTCCCTTATTTGGCCCCACCCACATCCTGCTGATTGGTCCATTTTACAGAGAACTGATTGGTCCATTTTACAGAGTGCTGATTGGTCCATTTTTACAGAGTGCTGGTTGGTGCGTTTACAAACCTTTAGCTAGACCCAGAGTGCTGATTGGTGCATTTACAATCCTTTAGCTAGACAGAAAAGTTCTCCAAGTCCCCACCTGATTAGCTAGACACACAGTGCTGATTGGTGCATTTACAAACCTTTAGGAAGACACAGAGCACTGATTGGTGCATTTACAATCCTTTAGCTAGACAGAAAAGTGCTCCAAGTCCCCACCGGACCCAGAAGCCCAGCCAGCTTCACCTCTCAATACAGAAGAATTATAATATTTTTTATCCTGTAATGGTAATCTATAATCATCTGGGGAGTTTGTTAACTATATATAGAGAGAGATAAATACCCTGGATTTACCTCTTCCTCCTCCCCCTAAAATATCTAATTTAGTAGGTCTAAATCCTGAGCATTTGCATTTTTAACACATGATTTTGATGTTCTTTAAAGTTTAAGAACTATTTTTCTGAATATCTGTCCTAGTACAATCTGCTATATAAGAGGCACTAAGTGACTATATTTGAATGAGTGGATAAATAAAATGAGTGAATCAAAGCACACTTAAAGA
This sequence comes from Homo sapiens, assembly GCF_000001405.40. Taxonomy (NCBI): domain Eukaryota; kingdom Metazoa; phylum Chordata; class Mammalia; order Primates; family Hominidae; genus Homo; species Homo sapiens. The sequence continues at coordinate 80,758,095 of NC_000013.11, read as the reverse complement.
AAAAACAAAGCCTGAGACCCATTCTCTCTGTGGATAAAATGTTACTTCTAAATCTGCAGACTTGATGAACCAATAGAGGATGACAAGCAGTCATGCAGTGACAGTGGTATATCAGCCTGTCTGAATCTCAACTCCTTCTCAACAAAATGGTAGCAGTGTTCACCAGTTTCCTATAAAGATTGCTTTAGCCAATTTACATCAATCTCTCAGCACTTAATAGGCACCAAATTAATGGTAACTTTTATTCCAGGAAAGATGTATCTTTCATTTTCTTAGACATATAATTCAGTGCACTTACTTGAAGCTGTAGAGCATTATATGTACCTTTTCTTTTCATTCAAGTGTGAAGATCAAAGTCATAAAATGAATTTGACTCATGCTAACCTGAGCATAATAATTTCAATGACATCAATTTTCTTCACTATGACAAAGCCTCTTTGGTGCTGTCTTAGCTATAGAAAGAAACAAGATAATATTCTAGATGAAACTATGAATGAAAATATTGCGGACCAGCGCTGATTTTGACAGCATGAAAGAAAGCCTCTGAATTTGTCAGAGAGATAAAGAAGGAAAGGAACTCAGGCTTGTGAGAAAAATAAAAATAGAGATACATCTTAGTGAGATTTATCCCCCTTGCACCCAAGGGAAATTTGTGAGTTAGCCCCAGAATCTGAGTAAGCAATGAGAGTGCAAAGTACTTAAAGTAGTTGGATTCTAGCAAACTGACAATAAATATCCAAAAGTGATATCACAGCATATGCCTTAGGCAGGTGCCAATTGGAGAAAGCCTGTTCAAAAGATTTGCCCACCTTGTCTTCAGGGACATCATCCATGGTCATTAGTCATGATAAGCTATTGAGCAAGTAGGTGTAGTCTCAGACACTTGGTAGCTTGGGAACAGAGCTTCCCAGAGTCAAATTGGAGAACCGAAGGATGCTATGTAATCTTAACAATAAAACTGTGAGAAAAGAGAATGGGTAGCAAAGGTCAGATTTTGCTGGAATAAAGAAATATGCAAAGCCTACATAGTTTCTATTAGAAATTACCTGGAGAAATAAAAGAAAAAATTATATTACTAACTTACACAATGATGAGGAAACTTGTCCTGGAATTTCTTTATATTTGTGTTGTTTTGCAAAAGATAATATACGAGACAAGCATAACTTACTAGTTCTAAAATAATGAGTAATTCCAGCTTTCTTATGCCTGCAAATGGGTGATAACAGGACATCATACACCAAAAAACAAGGTAAATTGTTAGGGGACTGTCATATATAGAGAATGCAAATGTCCACCAGCACAGTAAATCCTCAGGGTTCTTTTATACAGTGATGAGGGGCTACATGAGGCTGTGTTGACACCTTATATATGAAATATGAACAAATATGAGAGAGGATAGAAAAGTCATATGGTGGTTGGTGTGATTTTTCTAACCTGATGAAGTTTTAGATCCCTTGAGAAGTATGTGGGAATAGAAAGAGTGGAAATGGATAATTTAGCCTACTAATGCAAATCCAGGCTTCGTGGAGAGTTAAGAGATGGCTCTAGCCTATCTGTCAGGGTTTGGAAGTGTGAGACCTACCCTCAAAGCTTAATAAATTTCCAGACTGTTTGCCATAGAGTAAATAATATGGCCTTGGTTGGTTTTCTACTAAAAATTTTGGGTAGTCTGCAGGAGAAGCTTTTCTGTAAAATAAAAGGGAAGTTCTGACCCCTTGTGAGAGTGATGTAGGGACAGTTAGTGCCAGAACGAAGGCAGGGGAGAGCACTCAGACAAGGAGAACAGAATGCAACAACACCCCCCAGCAGGTAGGATACTCTGGAGGCAAAAGCAAGTCTTCAGGGTTTGCAATAATTATTTCACTCACACCATTACTTTGTCCTTGTGACTAAGAAAGCAATTTAAGCTGTTACAGATGGCTTCATGCTTAGCCTGGAGAGAACATTTTATTCAGAAGACAGTGCCTGCCAGGAACCCTCCAGTTTGCCAGCTTGAGGCTAGCAAATAATGAAACTTGATACATCTACAACTTGGAGCTCTTGGTTTCAATTCACTGAAAAGCTTCAAGCACATATTTAAGGTTCACTCTTTCACTTGAAGCACGGATCTGCAACATTTCAGTAGCAGACATTCTATTAAGTGATGGTTAGATGCCCTGCCAACTCTAAGTTCAATAGCCTAAGAAAAGCTGTATGAATACTCATGCTCTGTCCGCGGTCCCGGCCTTCTTATAGAGTGGGTAAAATAAACTGTAATTTACGGGAGAATTGAATTGAATGACCCAATAGGGAGCCTCAAAATATCTGAAACACCTTCCAAAAGCTGTACCACTAATAAAAACAAACCAATCCTCTGGGCTATGTTGAAAAAATGTCAATTAATAAATGACATTGATACATGGGTAGTTCCGCCGTCAAATAGAAGAAATTTCAAAGAACAAAAATAACATTATTTTTATGGAATGACAAAACCATCAATGGATAATAGATTCAGAGTAAATTTCCTGAAATCTGCTAATGCTACAGAGCTGCAGTTCCATGTTTCTGAGAGCTCATCACAGTGGCTTTGCTTACTGAGACTGGACTCTGGATCATTAGTCCAATAACCTATCAACCCCCAAAACAGTATATATGAATAAAAGATGTAAGACATTTTCCAGCTATGTGCAATTAACATATAAGCAGAATAGGCAGTTCATCTGAAAAACATATGTAGCAAATGTCTAAAAAGCGTCTATTAGACAAATGTAACAAAAATGTAACTTAAATATGCTTTAGCAACAAAAGTACAGGGAGGAGGGAAAGTGGGAAGGAAAGGAAGGTAGGAAGGAGAAAGAAGAAAACAAAGAAAAATTTCCTCATTAAATTGAAAAATTTAGGGATAATATTTTGTTACTGTGTTGCCACCATTCTCAGGAAGACTTTAACCATGATAAAATGTCTGCCAACAGTTGTGGAAAAACTCTCCTTGAAAATGTGATTGCTTTCTCTAGGGCTCTAACGAAAGTTCCAAAATTGAGACTCATTGGCTTCCATTGGGTCTCATTGCCATCTCTAAGTCACTGTAGCTGGAGGGATGAAATACTTTGATTGCCTGGGCATGGGTCATATTTGTCCTTCTGAATGTAGGATTGATTCTATTTAACCACATAAAGCTAGAAAGAGTAAGGAAAATCAGGGAACTGTAACTAGTAAAAGAGAATGGATATTGAGCAGGCTAAAAGAGCTTTTCTGATGAACTGTGAATAGATTTCATACCTCAAGAAGGGGATATAAATAATGTTAATACAATGTCTTCACATTGGCTTCTTATAGAAAGCTAATGCTCCTGTTCTCTTCTTGGCACATCTACTAGCCAAATGAGACTAGCCCCTGCCTCCTCCTCACTCATCCTTCTTCCACCAAGAATGGATCATTGTCAAAGACAGAAATTGGGATTTGGCCTCCATCCTAATGGATGGAAGGTTTGTGATGCAAAGTTAAACCCTAAGTCTGCAGTGGTGGGATCTGCTCCCACTGGTTTGACAGGTGAGAGTCTGGGGCCAGTTCCATTTGGTAACTGCCTGAGGATGTGATATTACATTGAGATTCAGAGCAAAAGCCACATACTGATGAAGAATATGCCTTCACTTCGTTTGCCCTCTGTGCACATATCTCTCAGGCACATTGCAGTTGGGGCAGAGTGGATTGAGAGAAAGATTCAAATATTTGACATCCTGCATCCTGTCCCAAATACTATCTCTTTTCACCCTTTAATATGATTTACAGTTGGCCCAGTTTCTGCAGATGATATATGTGCAGGGAATTTGGAATTAGGAGGAAAGTGCTCCAAAAGAAAGAGTGAGATTCATGCTTTAGAAAAGGCCTCAGATGTTTATATAAAACTGCAAAGGCAGCTGTGCCTGCTGAGTAATATCCCACATGCAGTAAGCAGGATCTGGTGTTAGTGGGGATCGGGATTTATTTCTCCTTCCAGACAGGGTCTCTTGGGAACTCTAAATGGTAAAAGCAGTGAACTTCCATATGGGCTGGGGTAGGCCATGAGTTTTCTGCATATGGGATTTTTTGGCCATGAGCCTCCTCACCTTGCTTTGAACTCTGTATTTCCTTTCCTTTGCCAGCTGAAGCCTGCATCCAGGATCAACGATGGATTTGTGATGGACGAAATTGGGAGATTCTTGCAGCCTGCTTGAAATATCTCTGAGCTATCTTTTCCATCACCATCAGTCCATTAACCTTCATCTCCAAACTCTTATAGGGTCAGTCAGAAAGAGACATATGGAAAGAAAAAAAAATGTGTTAACATGCAAGACTTGACTGCTGAATATCCAAAGGCAAGCCTGTTGCACTCTTTTTTGCTAAGGATCCATACAGTGCATTTGATAATCTCTCAACTTGGTGGCAGGTATGATACACCATAAATGTGGGTCTAGCCACACTGGGTAAAATATTTCATTACTTGAATTATGCTTTTTCTTCTTTGACTTAGGTAGACGAATAGAAGCTATTGAAGGAGGAAAAAGAAAAAAAACTGTAATGATTAAGTTAGGCTGCATGCAACAACAAAAATAATAATAGTAGTTGAAACATTCATATGTATTGCTCACATAGCAGACCTCCAGAGGAATGCAGTTAGGCAGCTTTGCTGGCTCTGTATTCATCTAGCACCTAGGTTTCCTCTCCTTTTCTGATATATCATTCTACTATATAACGCCTATACATGAGATTCACCTTATAGTTTAACAGGGCCACTGGAGCTCCAAATGTCAATTCAGCATTTCAAATAACAAGAATGGGGAAGAATATAAGAATAAAAATGTTGTTCGGCATGGTGGTTCATGCCTGTAATCTTAGCACTTTGGGAAGCTGAGGCGGTCGGATCGCCTGAGGTCAGAAGTTCAAGACCAGCCTGGCCAACATGGTGAAACCTTGTATCCACTAAAAAAAAAAATAATAATAATAATAATTAATTAATTAATTAAAAAAATAAAATTAGCCAGGTGTGGTAGCACACACCTGTAATCCCTGGGAGGCTGAGGCATGAGAATGGCTTGAACTCGGGAGGTGGATGTTGCAGTGAGCCGAAATCATGCCCCTGCACTCCAGCCTGGGCAACAGAGCGAGACTCCACCTTAAAAATAATAATAATAATAAATAAAGTAATAAAAACGTCTATCTTTCAGCTAAGTCAGTTCTCTTTAAGCGTTTTTCCTAAATTTACTAATAATTATTTAATGACACAGTCTCAACTTGCTGCTAGGCAGTTGGAACGTGTGTTTTTTAGCTAGATGTAATGTCAACCTGAATAAAACTGGGTGCAAACCAACAGCCTCTGCCACAGGAAGCAATCCCACATCCCTTCAAGATCTGGTTTTCTGATTCCCTGATAATTTCTTCCAACAGCAATATCAACATTCTTGTTCACTACAGGCATAACTATTAAGCCCCTTGATTTAAAAGAGAAGACTAAAACCGGGGGAAGCTATTGGTGCCTAGGAAACATTTAAAATATTACTTTACTTTTTGCTTATTCCAACATTCTTCTTCCCTTTCCTTTCTCCACGAGGAATTTGACAAAATCAAGAAAAAAGTGAGTTTATTGATCTACAGTACCATCACTGGCACTCTCATTTTGACAAATAGAAAGATTAATCCTTTAGACCGGAGGAAGTCACACTTTCTCTTTGCTCTTTCCCACAAAGCCAGTCTACTAACCCAACTAGTCTAGGCTGTTGTGCCAATCAACAGCCATTTTGTTTAAGATTCACACTTTGCTTTAAGCCTCTCCCCTGCATTGGTCTATATTGCATGAACATTCCCTAGCTCCATTTCCCTCTGGACTCTTGACAGAAGAAGACAATGAGAAGCTCTGACAGAAGTTTAGGGAAGGAGAAGAAGGGAGAACTGTGGTTGTCCCATCACTTTTACTTTCTGTTACATCTGTTACAAGTTGCCACTAGATAGCCCCTTCCTCCATTGTTCTAGTTTCCATGAGGTAGGCCTTGCTGTGGTTCCAGCTCTCATTGTATGGGTTTGGCTTCTGAGTTAATACCGTCTTCTCCCATTGTCCTTCTCTTTCAAGGGTAGCAGCTTCTTGTGGCTAATCTCTGGGTTGCCTTACTGTCTTGTTTGCTTTGTCTAGTCTGTGTATCCAATTTCCTTCCTTTGTCTAGTCTGTGTAACCAGTTTCCTACCTTAAATTCACTCAGTTCAAACAATCTAAACTGCTTTGTGGTGAGTCCTTGGCAGATAAAATTATGCTGTAATAATCAATGTGCTCTCAAATCTCAGTAGTTTAACACATAAATGCATGTTTTGTACACAGTGCTGTTGCAAGGCAGCTCCCATCCAAGCAGTGGTTTAGGGATCCAGGTGGCTTACACTTTTACCTATGTATTTGGAGCATTTGGCTTTTGAATCACTGCAATAAGGGAAGAGAATGAATGGGTAATTCCAATCTGCCGTATTTTGCTTAATCTAGAAATGATACATGTCAAATTCCACTTCTGCCCATTGGCCAGGAGTAGTCATAAGGCCCCAAATGATTAGAAGAGATGCTCAGAAATGTATCCTTCTTGTATGTATGTGCATGCACATATGCATGCACACATCTACATACACTGAAATAAAGAAAGATGATTTTGGTGATCTCATGTAGCGTAAAATAAATAAGGCAAAAAAGGCACACAATTTGGGTAACTTGGAATGTGAATCCAAGGCAAGTATGATCAGCTGTATTTGTATTCGTATCTTTTTTGTATCTTTTGTTGTTTTTTTTTTTTTTTTTTGAGACAAGGTCTTACTCTGTCACCCAGGCTGCAGTACAGTAGTACAGTCATGGTTCACTGCAGCCTCAACCTCCCAAGCTCAAGTGATCCTCCCATCTCAGCCTCCCGAGTAGCTGGGACTACAGGCAGACACCACCACACCCAACTAAGTTTTGTCCTTTTTGTAGAAGCAGGGTTTTACCATGTTCCCCGGGCTGGTCCTGAACTCCTGATGTCAAGCAATCTGCTTGCGTCAGCCTCCCAACATGCTGAGATTACAGGCGTAAGCCACACGGCACCCAACCTGTGTTTGTACCATAAGAACACACCTTTACTCTTGGCAATGGTTAATTACTTCAACTGCTTTTGTTGAGGTCTCTGTTACTCAACATCCAAAGGCTTCCACTGTAGAAATGTTCTAGAATTATATTCCAGTGTGTGAATTCTACCCAAAGATGCATGAATATTATTGACCGGACTTAAATTGCACAGATCAGAATAAAATCTAATAATTAACTGTAGCATAGATAATACCTCAGTAAAATCCTCAAGAGGAATAATTCTAGTTGAATATGATGAGAATTCTCAGACTAGAGTCAAGCCAAAGCATTAGCTTTCTCATACACATCTATATAACATCAGCTGGAATCATTAGTTAAATAAGAATAATAATTAGTATCCATTCATAATGTTGTAGTAAGAATTAAGTGACTTAATATTTATAAATTGCCTTTTATAAGTACCTACAATTACTTACATAAATGCATGTTAAATCTGAAAGATCCATTTTGTAAAAATGATATATCAGTGATAAGTATTATTCTGTGACCTGTATTTTAAAATGTTCAGTCAAAACCACCTAGAAATGAATGGCTACAGAAATGTTCTTTTTAAGTTCACTGTATTGTTAAATTAGGTAACCATGGCAATCCATCACAGTAGGTGTAAACCACATGCTGATTAGTCTTAAAATAAGGATAGAGAGAGAAGGCAGGAAAAATCAAGGCCTGAGGAAATTCATTTTTATAGGCTCAGAAAGAAAGACTTCCCTGATTTGCAACCCCATCTTTCATCTACTAGCATAGAAACTTTATTTAACCTCTCTGAGGCTCCATTTATTTTTCAACTAAATCATGGGAATAAACATAGTACTTCTCATAGAGTTGTTGTGAATTTAAATTCATTAATTAAATAGAAGAATTAAAGGACTTTATAGAATGTCCTAAAAATAGTATTAAATAAGTGTTTGATAATATTATTTTGTTATATTATTATTTACTTTTACTGATTGAGCTATGATTTTGAATACTTTTAACTATACTGTTTACTGAAGTGAGCAATTATTTGTGAATTTGAATAAGCTTACTGATTTTTAGAATATGAACCAAAGGTCATTTAATATCTTGTCTTTAGAGAGAATCAAAGATAATCGTAAGAACAAAATGCACCTATTTTCTCATTGCAACTGCCCTCTTTCTCTCTATCATCTCTATCCCAGCTTGTTGAAAACTGAATGTAAAACAGGAGTAATACCTGACTGGAGATATGTCATGATTTTTCTTAGGAAAAAGGAAAGAGAATTGTCTAAGCTTATGATATAATTAAAGTTCTAAGTTGCTAAGAAGCTTAAAAGTATTAAAACTTAAAAGAAAATAAATATTAATAGAAAATAATAATTGTATACAGTTGAATGAACTCCAGGCATACACAAATAAAACGTCCACTCTAGTTCTGCTCATGCTGTTTATTTTCTTCATCCAAAAGTTCAGAACCTTCTCCTTGAACTCTTGGGCAGTGATATTTCTACTTATATTTATGGGCTAGCTCTCTGCTATAACTTTTCTTCTGTGTATTCTGTTGATATTTTAGGGTTACAATTTATATATGAGTAAATAGGAGCAGCACACCAAATCAACGTATCATATTGTGTAATACAAATGAATAAAATGAAGGCCATTAACCATAGTACAATACCAAGATGACACCCATTAAACAAAATTGAAGCTTTTCGAAATAAATTGAAATAAAATGTATGTACAAATTTTTTTAAATACTTGAGCTTGTTCTTCATTCATTTTTTATTTAGTTTCTAAAAGGAGCTAATGTATGTAGAAAGCAAGTTCATTTAACACATACTTGGCATCTATTACGTGCCAGGCACTGTCTTAGGTGCTTGGAGTAGAGCAGGGAATAAGACACACACGTTTTCTGTTCTTGGGAATTTTATATTTTAGTGAATATGAAAATAAAAGGTGACCAAGAGGTTTTTTGAGGAATATAAAAGATAGTGTAGCTGGCACATATGAGCAAAGCTTAACACAGTAAGTTTGGAATGTGGGTACACCTCAGATTATATGTGGCCCTAATACTTGGAAAATAAATTTGGATTTTATTCTCAATGGGAAGGCATTTCAAAGTTCTAATTATGACTCATGGTTTTAAAAAAAAAACCCTGGGTTTGTGTGTACAGAGTAGTTTTAATTAAGAAAGAACAGAGGCAGAGAACAAGTTAGGAAGCTTTTAGCACTTGTCCAGTTGAGAGATTATGATAATTAGCAACATTCCAGGTTGCAAAAGCTTTTCACATTTGAAGAGCACACACATCGAAAAAAGAACAAAGTAAATGTGGGATATATTATCAACCCTTTGACGGAGAGACAAACTGAGATGCTGAAAGGTTAAAGGATTCAAGTTTTTTGCTTCCAAAAGGAGAGAGTATTTCTTTTCCCATTTTATCCCCAATTACATTTAAGAAAAAAGCGGGCAGAGTTGCATACAGTGGAATCAAAGCAGGCTATAGAGATTTAATGATATTTTATAGGCTTGATGAATTTAGTATTTCACAAATCATAGTATGTTATATGAAAAACATTGTGAGACAAGAGTGAGACTTCCAGAACCACTGAGGCATGCACTTTCATGGAAGGTTTTCAGATTTATGCTACTAAGTGAATGTGGGTCTCTTTTGAGTTCCAAGTGGGTGGTGTCATCCTGACCTCCCTGTACAGAAGCACTTCCACACTCTCTTCTGCCATCCAATGTACATGTGAAATTGCTCTCACATCAATCCATGTTTTTTATTTGTTTGTTTTTGGTGGAAGGGAGTCATATCCTCTCTTTCTAATGCTGCTCCGGATTCAGGGTGGCCTTAGAATAAGAAAAAATTTCTGTATAATTGCTTATTTAAAAATAAGAGAAAGAAAGCTCAATTTCTCTGAAAATTTGAGACTCAAATGAGAGATTTTATATCCAAAATGAGAATAATGTTTCAAAATTTAGAAAATGTCTTTCAAAGCAGAGAAAGGCTTTCAAAATTTTATAATCAGATTAAGTTCTGATTAGCTTTAAAAAAATGCTTTTAAACAAATATCGAACTATACAGGGAAACTAAATTATTCATTTTTAAATAGATATAAAGTGTTTGCTTCTGTCTCAAATATTCAAATGTGTTGCTTCTCATTATTTATATCAATGATAGAGCTTATAGTTTTAGATTAAGAAAGTAATGTTCTTTATATCTCAAAAACTGTAAATAAGATTGCCTGGTTTATTTAAATCCAGAAGTTCATTTTTTTGCTGGAACCAAATGTAACTCACTAATTACCTAATTTATATCAATGGCATTTCTTGATAGAAGATAATAATAAGAGCAACAAAATGACTGTTTATCAAAGCCTATTCCTACTTCGTGCCCTGAATAATCTTAGTCATCTTATATAGCACCCAATTTAACCTTTACAACAATTCTATTACGTTTATTTAGCTAAAGCATTTCCATGTTAAGGACAAAGAAATAGAGGGTTAAAAGAATAGGGGCTTAAAAGTAAGTTCTGAAATTCTCACAATTAATGATTGTCAAACAGAGATTTGAACCCAGGCATCATCCTTTTCAACACTCACACTTTATTAATTAGGCTATACTGTTTTCTTTAGTAAAAAAAAATAAATAAAATTAATTTTCTTACATCTTCCTTATAGTCAATCATAGATATATGACAGCAATATTCCTGAGAAATTACAATAAGTAACAAGTTCATATATTTCGTCTAATTGAATAGCATCATTGTGGAGAAAACTGGAAGGTGAGACTGATGAACTGACCACGATACTGAAACCTCTCTGGACTATCACGGTCACCTCTAGTTCTGCATTTTTTACTCCACATTTTGCCTGCTTAGGATGATTTTCACTTCTTTACTTCACAAAGCAATTATTTATATCTTTACTGGAATCCAGGTAAATAGCAAACTCAAGCTTTTTCTTAATTTCAACCAAAATAAGCTAGCAAGCATTTTAAAAAACCTGCAAAACACACACAACTATTAGTTGTTTATGTATAGAGCAGACACTGTAAGCAGGTCAGGTCAAGAGATGTGCAGAAGAATATGAAGAAGAGAATTGGTTAAGAATACCCATCAGACTTTGGTTGTGCCACTTACTGCTTGTGTAATCTTGCTTACACTACTTGTAAAATGATAGCACCATCTCAAATAGCTGTTTTAGGGAGTTAGTAACATATATTGAATTATCACAATAACTGGACACAAGGAAAGAGCCCAATAAATTGACACCCTAACATCACAATTAAAAGAACTAGAAAAGCAAGAGCAAACACATGCAAAAGCTAGCAGAAGGCAAGAAATAACTAAAATCAGAGCAGAACTGAAGGAAATAGAGACACAAAAAACCCTTCAAAAAATTAATGAATCCAGGAGCTGGTTTTTTGAAAAGATCAACAAAATTGATAGACTGCTAGCAAGACTAATATTTCTTATCAAAGTAATTGCATTGTAGTTAAGAAAGCAAACAAAATCTAATCTCTATTCATAGAAGTCCTTTGGCCTGTCAGCAATACTGGATCATCTTTTCTCTTTTTTCTCTGTACCGACTGTAAATCTACTCTCCCCTTTCACTACTGTGTGCTAGAAGGAGCAAAAAGAAACAAAACTGTGTGTAGAGCAATTTCATTTTCTTCAATATCTGATAAATCAAATTCTGAAATTTCTGTTGCTCAGTCTAAGATTTAACTGAGGCTAAGAATAATATAAATACTTGCAAGGGCCTGATTAAATTTACAGACAGAACACAACAGAGGTATAGCAGTATAGGAAGCAGAAAATGGTTTCTTTTTTCCAGTTTCACAATCTCATTTCCTCTCTAAGCAAGATTTCTGGATTTTTGAACAAGGATGTCCACAGAAAGATCTCAAAAGTCAATTATTGCAATTTCTTACTCTATGATTGCACATAAAAAAGACAAATGGGGCTAAATGATACTATGTTTTACTAAATTAATTGACTATTGATTTTTCCTAAAAAGCATTATGATGGAATCTATTTCTCCCTACCTAATTGTAGATTTTTGGAGACTAGGCTATTGGGTCTAAGCATATTTGAGAACTCAGACCACTTTGAAATTCTGATAAGTACATCAACAAAAAGAATATACTAATATGAGCACATATTCATATAGATAAATGAACATATCTATAGATAAATACATCTATTGGAAAGTTACACAGAATACATACACACACATATGGGAATGGGGGTTGATGCAAATAACAGCTGAAACTCATGAGGGCTCATAAACCCCACCTAATATCCTTGATCAAAGAACAATTGAAAAATGAGAATAATCTACCCTTTCATAGTATATGCTATAGAGAAAATAGTCTGAATCCAGTGTATTGGTCCGTTCCCATATTGCTATGAAGAACTACTTGAGAATGAGTAATGTATAAAGGAAAGAGGTTTAATTGCCTCATAGTTCTGCAGGCTGTACAGGAAGCATGGCTGGGGAGCCCTCAGGAAACTTATAATCATGACAGAAGACAAAGGAGAAGCTGTCATGTCCTACATGGCTGGAGCAGGAGGAAAAGAGAGAGTGGGAAGCTGCCCCACAGTTTTAAACAACCAGATATTGTGAGAACTCACTCATTAGCATGAGAACATCACCAAAAGGGGAAATCCACCCCCTGATCTAATGACCTCCCAACGAGGCCCCACCTCCAACACTGGGGATTACAGTTTGACACAAGATTTGGGCAGGGACTCGAATCCAAATCATATCTCTCAGTTTTTACATATTTGAATATCCATGGACCCATGTAAATATTTGAAACACAGAATAACGAATACTTCCAGTCATTAATAAATATTGTTAACAGTGTCATAACAGCCACCTAAAAATGATGCAAAAAGATACAGGGATCTGCTGTAGCTACCAGAGGTCACTAATAATCACTATTCTCAAACTAGGCAGACTATCTAGATGTAAATTGGTACTATGACTGAAACTTCCATCAGTGGTACCACAATATTTTACAATAGCCCAATGTAGCTGAGTTCAGCATACCTGGATTTAAATCCTAGCTCTGTTACTTGATAGATGTAAACTTAAGCTAAATGATTTAACCCTTCCAAGCTTCATTATTCTAATTTGAGATATCAAGATCATGATATCTATAAGTAATATTATTATGACACATGTAAAAAAAAGAAATACACATAAAATAATTGTACTGTGCTTGGCACATAAGTGCTTAATAAATGACTGTCATTTTTAAAAATAAGCTGCTAAATACTTAGGTAGTTGTAAAACTATTGCAACATATTATTATGATTACAACATATAAATATTTGTTATATTTATGTTATATATGTATATATGTCATTATGGTCATATAGGTCATTACAATTATTTTCTCAACTCCCTTAAGAAAAAAATACTCAATAATGCTTTGTTGAATCATGGAATGCAGCCAGTTGTGAATTTAGGGCAAGTATTACAGAAGCTTAGTCAAGGGAGACAAGAAGAGTTACCCAGAATAAATTCTAGTCAAAGCTAGACATAGAGAAATACATACAGCATGAAGGTCAGGGAAAGCTTCAGAGCCAGGGAGGCTGTCAAGAGATAGATGTCAATAGATACCACAAGGTAGGGTAAGAAGGTAGTTTCAGTGTCCACTGGGAAAGAGAGCTTTGAACAAGTTGAAAAAGGAAAGGTAAAGCAAGCACGAGAATAGACTCAAAGTGATAATAACAAAAAAAACTTTGTTGGTAAACAACCCTTGCTTTAGTCAGAGAGTTTTTATATGCTCCCTGGTAAGGATGCATGTATCCCCATGGACGTCCTGACATGAACATTTAGAATCTACAGTAAGTGGATAGGACTGAGGGGAAAGAAAGAGAGAAAAGAAGTGATGACAAGCCACACCAACACAGGATCAAACTGTTCTTTCAATAACTAGAAAGCATTCTAGAAGTTTCTGTCTTGCCTTAAAGTTCTTCCTGCAAAATTTTGTACTTTTTTTTTTTTTTTTTTTTTTTTAAGACGGAGTCTCGTTCTGTTGCCCAGGCTAGAGTGCAGTGGCATGATCTCAGTTCACTGCAACCTCTGCCTCCCAAGTTCAAGTGATCCTCCTGCCTCAGCCCCGCTAGTAGCTGGGATTACAGGCACACACCACCATGCCCAGTTCATTTTTGTATTTTGGGGAGAGACAGGGTTTTGCCATGTTGGCCAGGCTCGTCTCGAACTCCTGACCTCAGGTGATCCACCTGCCTCAGCCTCCCAAAGTGCTGGGATTACAGGCATGAGCCACTGCACCTGGCCAACTCTGTACTCTCAAAGGCATTTATTTCACTTACCTTCTTACTATACAGTCAATTTAGAATATCAATGCTGAAATAATCATTCCATTTAGAGTTTTAATCAACATTCAGTAAGACCAGGACAATACAGAGGAGGATATGCATCCTAAGAATGGCACATGTTGTGCCTGACTCAATCAGAATGTATCATACTTAACTACAGCACTTGGTAGAAACATTTGGATAATTTTAATGGTACTTGAAAATAAAGCTTATAAGAATGGTCCAAATTAAAAGCTAGTTAATATATGTTAGAAACAGAATATTATTTTTCTGGGAAAGAAAGTAATAATGTGTATTACTCAGTTTGACATTTTGCACACATTATTTATTTTTTTTTGACCACTACTTCACTAATTTCTCAGAGAAGTCATTTATCCTATCTCAAATCTACTATAATACAGACCCAACGTCTTGAAATGAAGTAATGGAAAGAGCGATCACCTTGAAGTCAGGAGAGCTGCTTTCAAAGTCTAGCTTTACCATTTGTCAATAAATGACCTCAGAAAATTCACCTAACCTCTATGCTTTTCAGTTTTTCACATATAAAATGAAGGGAAATCAAATGGTTGATGTTTCAGATTCTTTTCTAGGTTAAAAAAGAAAGAAAATAACTTGGTTAACATTTTCAAAATCACTTAATTGCTTATTCATTTAAGTATACTCTAAGTGTTTTAACTTTTAACCATATTTTTTTTTCTTTCAGTGGGGATCTTTGTTTTCTGATATACACTGTTACCTCTCTTGCCAACTTTTTAAGTTTTTTTACCTAAAAAAATATAATATAGTTGGAAACTCTCTTCTTATGGCTTATGTTACTAAGTCTTGAGATGTAAAATAATTCCCAAAGGTGACATGATTAAATGTCACACAATGATAATACATATATGTATATTTATATACTCTTTGCTTCAATTATTATAAACACTCACCTCAAGATGTATTATTTTTAATAAAATATAGTTCAAACACAGATAATGTTCCATGTATTTGTACGTAATTTGAAAACATTATATTAAAGAAAATATTTGGAAAGCTAGCATTTGTTACAATGAGAATTTTCTCCACATGGTAAAGTCAGAAGATTGAGTGCAGGAAATAAATTATCAACTAATTAATGTGTATTTTTTTCAGCTCTTACTCATAACCTACCTAGCTGTCATTTCATATAACCATACCTTACCTATAAATTAAGCTTTCCTTTTATCAAACTCAGCTGGGGGTTATTATATCAGTTTTAATGCCTCTAAAAATGGTACTAAAGGTAGATTTATATCACAAATGGAAAATCTGAGAGTGGAGGACATTTTCCATGTGGCAGTCTCATAAAACTATCACTTTTAACAAACAACTTCAATTCAAGAGAAATTTGCTAAAATCTTTTAAGCATATTCGTGGTCTTAGGAGGAAGTGCTAATATGGAATCTGTCTGCTCTGCTGCAGCTGCCTGATTTATGAAAGCATAAACAACCCTGACTCATTCTAGGGAAGTTGTAATTACCATATGGAGTGTTAAATGTACAGACACTTCATAAGGACCAATGCAGTAGCTTAAATTATAGTCATTATGCTATCCTTGCTCCCAAATCTTGCTTTAATCCCCACTAAGAAAAAAAAAAGCCTCAGTTCAGTACCCTTCACTATCAGTTCCATTGCACCTTGAGAATAAGTGTACATCAAGATGCTTTATAAAAGAGTAAGTAAAAGCTAATTAGCAAGGTAAGACAGAAATGACTACTTCCTCAAATGTTTGATAGAGGCATTATCAATATGGGTACTCTATACTGTACATTATACATTATGCTTTAAATTTTCTTCTAACTAAAAGAAAGAAAGAATGAAAATTTGGTTAACATTTTCATAACCATTGAATTGCATATTTACTTAAGCGTACTCTTGTTGTTATGATTTTTAACCATACATTCTTTCATTATATGGCCAGGATCTATTATTAAATGGCCTGGACCACTATATGGCCAGGATCTTTAAGATTCCACAATGTAGTAGGAGAGGCAAATACATACACACTTGAAATACACTGTTATGTAAACATATTAAATATGATTCAATAAAACTGTGATCAGCGCTGCCTTATTTTACCAAAATCAATAGTGAAAAACCACTATAAATACAATGAGCAGTTTCCACATTCTAGCAAGAAACATTTTTGTCTAGAGTCCAAAGAAGTATTTTTTGGCATTATATTTTTCTATCAATTGTATAAATGGCCACTTGGTATCCTAAAACTCAATTCATTTTTAGTCAGTGTCTCCTCTAATCCAGACACTCAATGCTATGTGTTGGAGTAAAATATCTGCACAAATCTCAAAGAATATTGGCTATACCATGAAGATGTGCTGGAGCCAATGAGACTTTATTTATAGCATTTAAATAATACTAGATAAGACTTACCTAGGGCTTAGTATGTGCTAGGCACTATTCTAAAAACTCAAAATATGTCAACCTGTTTAACCCTAAAAAACTCTATGAGAGACACTATTATTATTCCTGTATTATACTTGGAATGCAGAAGTACAGAGAGTTTAAGTAACTCCCCTAAAGGTACACATAATGGAGTCAGAATTCAAACACCGTGGAGCCTCTTAACTGCATTACCATACATCTCAAACAATGTACATCTCCATCTCAAACAATAAAATATCAGAGCTGAACTTTGAGATCATGGCATCAATGTGTAGTCTATATCTGAACAGGCACAAAACTGGACAGAAGACTACTAATTAGAGAACTACAGGTCTATGCCAGGAAAAAAACCAACAATACATGTTAAGAAATAATATGAAAACAATTTTTAAAAATTTGGTGACTAATTGGATATGGAGAACATAGGAGAAATAACTGAAATATCACTAAGAATTTGAGCTTTGAAAAATGAGATGTCTTAGTAGAAATAGAGATGTTTAAAAGAAAGAGTGGAGGAAAGAGAAAACCAGACTTAAACTTTCTATCACTAGGGAGGGAGTTCTGGATGAGGCTCATATTGTGTATACAAAACACAAATAGATTCTATTATTGAGGAGGTTGGGCATATATACATTAAAAACAACTTTCACAAGACATTATCAGAGATAGCTATTCCTCTGGAAAATTTTACAATTGAATCTATAAATAGATATTCAATCTGAAGGAACTTTGCTGACATAAAAGGTATTTAACATCCTTCAGGCTAAATGTTCAATGGGAAGGATCAGCATGGCTCATTGTCCTGTGATATAATCCATCCCATTCTCTCTGTAATTCCTCTGCATGAAGTCAATTGATTTTGGCTGTTGGGAATTATTAAAGGGCTGAACACGAAGCAAGGCTAAGTGAATCACAAAAGGGAAAAAAATCCAGCCATGGGAATGCAAAACTCTGTCCAGGTAGCCAGGTGGTCTACATATGCCTGCTAGCACTATTTCTTCCAGTTGGCACATAACATCTGTTTCTACAGTGAAAGGGTGTGAAGAAAATGACACAAGTGGTAAGCACTGACATATGCAGGGGAAAGGAAGTGATTTATTTTATATTAAAGATTATTACTGTTGCAAAACTAAAAGCACAACGTGAATATGCCTCTGTAAGACTTGTATAATATGTGTGTGTTTAAGAGAAAGATTGTATATTTTTATTAAATCATAATACAAAAATACAGGGCTCTGAAAATCTAATTAGCACAATGAATAAAAACAGAAGGCCTATAACAAATTATTTTCTGAAATAAGGGTAGGATTCTACTAAAAGTTTAGAAATAAGACAGGAGGGAGGATAACCTAAGAAAAATAGATAAAATTATTTATTTTCATCAAGTAGAAATATTTTATGTGAAAGGATTGATATTTACTAAGAAATAATAAAAAAATATTTAAAAGAATGTTAATTATAAATTATTAGTATATTAATAAACCACTCATTAAATTAGGCAATATTATATTCAACTATTGAGATTACTGAAAATGACAGCATTTCTAACAGAAGTAAGTATCAATTATATTAGCTCCATAGAATGACTTTATGGACAGTAGGAAATGAAAGGTAACATAGCATAAAGAATAATCTTTAATTTATTATTTAAATTGATAAAAGACTATATTTGTGTACAACATGATGTTTTGAAATATGTGTATTTCCACACACATAGGATGCTCCCTCCCTAGTGATAGAAAGTTTAAGTCTGGTTTTTGCTTTCCTCCACTTTTTCTTTTAAACATCTCTATTTCTATTAAGACATTTTCTCATTTTTCAAACCTTAAATATTGTGGAATGGCTAAATTGAGCTACTTAACGTACATTAGATCACATACTTATTATATTTTGTGTTGAGAACACTTCAAACGTACTCTTTCAGCAATTTTCAAGGATACAATACATTGTTATTAATTGTAGTCACCATGTGTACAATAGATCTCTTAAACTTACTCCTCTTGTGTTACTAAAAGCTCCTATCATTTTACCGACATCACTCCAAACACCCCACTCCCCAGCCCTGGTAACCATTATTCTACTCTCTACTTCTATGAGTTCAACTTTTTTAGATTCCACATGAAAGTGAAATCACATGGTATATACCTTTCTATGCCAGGCTTATTTCACTTAACATAATGTCCTCCAGGTGTATCCATGTTGACACAAAGGACAGGATTTCCTCTCCTCCTTTTTAAAGGGTGAATAGTATTCCACTGTTTATATATATCACACTTTCTTTACTTATGCATCTGTTGATGGACCTTTAGATTGATTTTATATCTCAGTTATTGTGAATAATGTTGCTGTGAACATGGGAGTGCAGATACCTCTTTGACATATGAATTTCAATTTCTTTCGATATATGTTGCACAGAGCTTTTAAGTTTGATGCAATCTCATTTTTGTTTACTTTTGCTTTTGTTGCTTGTACTTTTGGGGTCTTATCCAAAAAATCATTGTCTATATCAATATCATGAAGTTTTTTCCTTAGTTTTTCTTCTAGTAGTTTTACAGTTTGTGGTTTTAAGTCTTTAATCCATCTTGAGTTTAGTTTTGTGTGTGGTGTGAAATTAGGATCTAATTTCATTTTTCTGCATGTGGCTATCCAACTGTTTCAAAAATATTTATTGAAGAGATTGTCCTTTCCTTATTGTGTGTTCTTGGCATCTTGGCCAAAAATCAATTCACTGCAAATGCATGGATTTATTTTTGCGCTCTCTAATCTGTTCTATTGGTCTATGTATCTGTGTTTATGTCAGCACCATATTGTTTTTATTACTATAGCTTTGTAGTATATTTTAAAGTCAGACAATGTGAAGCTTTGCTATTGTTCATAAAGATTGCTTTGGCTATTCAAGGGTGTTTTTTGCTTCCTTACAAATTTTAGAATTGCTATTTCTGTTTCAATGAAAAAGGTCATTTGAATTTTGATTAGACTTGTGTTGAATCTGTAGATTGTTTTGGCCAATGTGGACATTTTAATATTAATTCTTCAAATCCATGAGCATGAATTTATTTCCATTTATTTGTGTCTTCTTCAATTTATTGTATCAATGTTTTATAGTTTTCATTGTATAAGTCTTTCACTTTCTTAATTAAATTTATTCCTAAGCATTTTATTTTATTTTATTTTAGCTATAGGAAATGGGATTGTTTTCTTTTCTGGATAGTTCATGATTAGTTTATAGATATGCTACTGATTTTTGTATGTTTATTTTGTGTCCTGCAACTTTGCTGAATTCATTTATTTGTTCTACTAGTTTGTTTGTTTTTTCATGGAGTCTTTAGGCTTTTCTATATATAAAATCATGTTTTTTGCCAACAGGGACTATTTAACTTCTTTCTTTCCAGTTTGGATGCATTTAATGTCTTCCTCTTGCCTAACAGCTCCAGCTAGGACTTCCAGTACATGTTAAATAGCAGTGGTGAGAGTGGGTATCTTTGTCCTGTACCAGAATATCAAGAAAAACTCTTCAAGTTTTCATCATGTCTGCTAGGCAGACCTAGAGACGGGCTGGGCCTGGTGCCAGGGCTGACCTGAAGGCTCAGTTCACTGATATCAGCCTGGAGTCTGGGGTTCTGAGGGCCTGCCTACTGCTGGGTTTTATTGGAATAGTTCAGTATTAAAATATAGGTAGCCCAGTGTTCACTTCTTTCTCTAAATAGGAAGGTATGTCTCTCCACAATGTTGTGCCAGGGTTTGGGAGAGGAGAGACATGGATAATGTAAAACTGTCCTTCATACCCTCTTCAATGTGTCTTTTCTGATTTTTATTCTACACCCAGTTGCTGTAATCTCTCACCTTGTCTCCCTGGCTCTTGTGAAGGTATTTTCTTGCATGGATACTTGTTTAAATTGATGTTTCTGTGGGCAGATGTGTACCAGAAGTCCTTTTCTGCCATCTTGCTGAACTTTTTTTCCCAAAGATTAATTTAGACACAGAATGAACTCCAGGAGTCAAACAGTTCCAACCCCATTCTTACAAATAAAAAGTGAAAATTCCAGAAAGATGACAGGACTTAGATCATAGAATTAAATGATCAGGGAAAAGATAGGTTTGGGAGATTTCTAGCAATAGTAAATGGAGACTGTCTTTCAGGTTGCAATAAGAAATGGTAAATGGTAATGTGGGAGGGGTGCAACAGTATCACTGTCCTGGAAAGAAGGGGAACTGGGTGAAGAATTAGGTGTGAGATCAGGGGGTGGCAAAAACATTTTACTTACAATAAAAGAATGGAGAATATATTAGATCACAGAAAGTCAGAAAGAGCCAGTGAAAATAATTACAATAAATTATTAAGAAATCAAATGTGGGCGGGGTGCAGTGGCTCACACCTGTAATCCCAGCACTTTGGAAGGCCGAGGCAGACGGATCACGAGGTCAAGAGATTGAGACCATCCTGGCCAACATGGTGAAAACCCGTCTCTACTAAAAATACAAAAATTAGCCAGGCGTGGTGGCACACACCTGTAGTCCCAGCTACTCAGGAGGCTGAGGCAGGATAATCACTTGAACCCAGGAGGCGAAGGTTGCAGTGAGCCAAGATCATGGCTGCTGCACTCCAGTCCAGTGACAGAGCAAGATTCTGTCTCAAAAAAAAAGCAAATGTGATAAGTTGGTTAATAATTTATTAAAATTTTTCTAATAAAAGGCAAGTTTTTCTAAAGTCTTGAGGAAGCACTGAACCCATTTTTACAGCTTGGGCATGCACAAAGTGTACAGCCAAGTACGTAATTACAGTTTTACCCATTTTCCTGAATGAAAAAGGACCAAAATAAAAGATATTAAATATAGTATATGAAATAAAGCATTTTTGGTCTATCATTTTTTAGTATCTGAGGAAAATATTTACCTGGCAGAGGCTAAAGAGTGGAAGGGAGAAGAAAGAAAATAAAAAAAATTTGGAGGTTCTACTTCAAAATTAGAAAACGCTTTATTTTAGTAATCATTTTACTTTAGAAAATATTTTATGTTGCAACATAGCGAGACCTGGTCTCTACAGAAATTAAAAAATAAATAGAATTAGCTGGACATGGTGATGCATGCTTATAATCCTACTTACATAGGAGGCTGACACATAAGTATCACTTAAGCCCAGGAGCTTGAGATCACAATGATGATGTGATCATGATGGAGCCACCACACTCCAGCCTGGACAACAGAGTAAGACCCTGTCTTGAAAAAAAAAGAAAGAGAAAAGAAAAAAAAAGAAAACATTGAAGTAAACAGAAATAAGTAGTGTGCTCAAAATAAGATATCAAAATGATCCCTTCTTACATCATTTCTCAGTTATTTATATGGTGAAACATGAAACAAAAATCTCGTTAAATTTTACAAGATGGAAGGTTCTGATAGCCACTCTGCCTCATCTCTTTTGTGCTCTATAGCGTCCTGTGGCCATGTCTACTACAGTACCTATCTTATTGTGTTTTTATTGATCACTTCACATATTTCGTGTGCTACCACTTACAGGACCCTTATTTTCCAAATCTTTGTTATTGTTGAGCATAGCTCATAGTCAGTATCTGACAATGTTAAATTATTAAAAGTGCCTTTTTTGTCATGAGAATAATACTATTATATAATATGCATATAATAATAGTTTGTCACATATTTACAATAAATGAAATGAGGTGGTACTGTCATGCAGAAAGATGCAAGTGGAAAACATTTTTCAAGTACTGTCTTCAGAATAAGATATTGCCAGAGCTTATGCAAGTGCTTTCAAGGTAGGAAAAGTAAATGAAAAGCACATTTTTCTCCCTAACAAAATTGCCAGTGGGTAAGGCAAAGGTTCAGGAAAACAGGAGATTTCTAATATATTAACCACCCGTTCAATGTCTGGCAGCAATTAGGAAAATAAACAGGATCCTGAGTTGAATTAACAGCACCAATTAAATACTGCAAGCACATTTATACCGATAACCAGTGGTGCAACATCTGGAAAGTTATTCACAAAACTGATGCCAAGTATTTCTGATATTCTCAAAGAAAACAAAACAAAACAAAACAAAATTAAAACTAGCAAATGGGTAAGAGATGTGAGCTTTGTACCAAAAAAGAACTAATTCTGACTTTTTCCACAATTTTAAACAAAAGCCAGGATAAAGTTGTTTTAAAGTTTAAAGGGTACAATTACCTTTTTAGTCTATTTTTGTAGGCAAAGAGCTATTTCTAAATATGGGCTAAGTCATAGAAATTCAAAATATTATATTTAAGCTAGATATAATAACCTTAGAAAATTGAAAGTGAGGTAAGGATATTGGACTTAATATAACTCATATTGGAAAATTTGACAGAAATGGTTTTGAATTCATAAAATATTTAGCATTTTAAGCAACTTTTTTCTCCAAAGGCAGGTTTTTAATATTTTTGTTTATAAACCAAATATCCACTGTAATAAAATAAATCTCCTTATATCTATTTCAGCTGCATATTAGCAATCCAAGTTATGTATATGTTGTATTAAAAAGCTTACCATTAATCATTTTTTGAAGTTTGGGGAACATTTCTCTATAGAGATTGCAGTAATTGTAGTTTGGTTCTCAAAATAGTCCTCAATGTTTTCTTTCCCCACCTCTGAAATATTGTGTTAATTGCCTTACTTTAACTACACCTAACCAACATATACATTTTTCCTAACTTGAAAATTAATTCCAAATTCTAATTTAGAAGGCTAGAAAGACCTTTCTATCTCACAAAAGAACTGCCATTCACCTCCCCCCAGAAGAAATATATTTAATTAAAGACAATCACTAAATTTACCCTTTAAAAAAAGAAAGGAACTACTTTAAGATATGTACTCTTTTACTGAAATGAAGAAGGGGAGAAGAAAGGGAAGATTGGGTGGGGGGGTCTTTTGGCTCAGACTTTCAAACACAATTGTTTATTCAACAAACATATACAAGCACCTTAGGTAACAACCCAAAGCAGGCATTATGTTACTCGGAAAAAACAAGGATGAATTAAATATGGAACATGTCTTCCAGGAAACTAGTACAGTTTGGGGATATGAAAGACATGTGCACAAATACTATGATATAAAATATCATGCCATGAACTTTAGCAGAGCAATGGAGGGTCTTACATGCTGGGCCAAAGAGATTGGCCTTTACCAATCTCTTTATACAGTCTATTCTGCATTAGTTGAGGGGCAGTGAAATGACAGTATCTGACTCAAACTTTAGGAAAAGTGTTTTAAAACCACAAGTAAAATGAAACGCAAAGGATCGGGTGGTTATTGAGAGAAACTGATGCTGGGTGACATGCCCTAAAATATTACTAAATAATATAGGCCAAACAAGACTATGTGCAGCATTGGATTTTTAAGATAAGGAGAAATATTTAAGAAACTTTTTGCAGACTTGACTAATTCTGATGCTAAACTCCACTAAATCATGTTGGAGAGCCAAACAGAATAAGACATTATAAGGCTTTCAAGTTGAATTTGGATAGATAAGAGGATGAAAATAAAAAGAGATGGGTTGCCTGGGAAACTTAGGTACTTAAGATTGTAGTAAATTGAGTTGATAGAGTTTTAGCTATATTCTTCATATTGAATGAGATTATGGGCAAGGAGAAGACTTGGGGAAATGCATGTGTTTAAGGAGTTAGGAAATAAAAGGTAAAAATTTTTTTTTAATGCAGTTTGTCAAAGCAGAACTTGAAGAGTGTTCCTTCATGGAAACCAAGGGGAAAGAGTATGTCACAGAAGGGCTGAGCACATAAATAGAATCCTGCAGAGTAGGGGAGGAAGACGAGAAATGAAAAAGAGTCCGTCGAGTCTTCAAATAGGACCCATTCATTCCTATGACATTCTTTACTTCCAAACTTGTCTGCATCTAATTTACTTTTTAAAACAGAGTTTAATCCTACCATCCATCTCACAGTAAGTTATCAGTTTTATTTTGTTGGTGAAATAATAATTCACCAGTTTCAATTAGCAAGCCTTTATTTCATGGGAATCTACCTCTGTGCTTCACAAGTTTCTCCAGCAAATTATTCAGTCTCTGGGATATTGCCTGGCCTGAAGAAATCACCAAATATTGGTATGTTGGATAAAATAAAGCTACTTGATAGGGGATTTGTTGGGGAGTAAGACTGAAAGGGGCTTCAGGAACTGTGAAGACTAAAGGGTGTATTTGAGCAAAGTCTGGACTTTATGCAGGTAGAATGTTTATTATTTATGATAATGAGAAGATTAAGACATGAGAGTGTTTAATAAAGACTTAAATGTAAAACCCCAAATTACAAAACACCCTAGACACCAACCTAGGCAATACCATTCAGGACATGGGTATAGGCAA
Organism: Homo sapiens; assembly: GCF_000001405.40. NCBI lineage: Eukaryota > Metazoa > Chordata > Mammalia > Primates > Hominidae > Homo > Homo sapiens. Next base: position 80,732,904 of record NC_000013.11, on the reverse strand, counting down.
AGGTTTTATGACCAAGATGCCAAAAGCAATTTGCAACAAAAGTAAAAATTGACAAATGGAATCAAATTAAACTAAAAAGCTGCACAGCAAAAGAAACTATCGACAGAATAAGCAGACAACCTACAGAATGTGTGAACATTTTTTACAATCTATGCATCTGACAAAGGTCTAATATCCAACATCTGTAAGGAACTTAAACAAATCTACAAGAAAACTATTTGACCCAGCCATCCCATTACTGGGTATATACCCAAAGGACTATAAATCATGCTGCTATAAAGACACAGGCACACTTATGTTTATTGTGGCATTATTCACAATAGCAAAGACTTGGAAGTAACCCAAATGTCCAACAATGATAGACTGGATTAAGAAAATGTGGCACATATACACCATGGAATACTATGCAGCCATAAAAAATGATGAGTTCATGTCCTTTGTAGGGACATGGATGAAATTGGAAATCATCATTCTCAGTAAACTATCGCAAGAACAAAAAACCAAACACCTCATATTCTCACTCATAGGTGGGAATTGAACAATGAGAACACATGGACACAGGAAGAGGAACATCACACTCTGGGGACTGTTGTGGGTTGGGGGGAGGGGGGAGGGATAGCATTGGGAGATATACCTAATGCTAGATGACGAATTGGTGGGTGCAGCGCACCAGCATGGCACATGTATACATATGTAACTAACCTGCACATTGTGCACGTATACCCTAAAACTTAAAGTATAATAATAATAAATAAATAAATTTAAAAACAAAAACCAAAAAAAAAAAATAAAAACCCTATTAAAAAGTGGGCAAAGCACATGAACAGGCACTTCTCAAAAGAAGACATACATGCTGCCAACAATCATACGAAAAAACAGCTTAATATCACTGGTCATTAGAGAAACACAAATCAACACCACAATGAGATACCATCTCACACTAGTCATAATGGCTATTGATAAAAAGTAAAAAAATAACAAATACTGGCAAGGTTGTGGAGAAAAAGGAACATATATACACTGTTGGTGGGAGTGTAAATTAGTTCAACCATTGTGGAAGTCAGTGTGTCAATTCCTCAAAGACCTAAAGACAGAAATACCATACAACCCAGCAATTCTATTGCTGAGTATATACCCAAAGGAATATAAATCATTCTATTATAAAAACACACGCATGTGTATGTTCATTGAAGCACTATTCACAATAGCCAATACATGGAATCAACCTAAATGCCCATCAATGATAGTCTGAATAAACAAAATGTAGTATATATGCACCACAGAATAGGATGCTGCCATGAAAAAGAATGAGGTCATGTCTTTTCAGGGACATGGATGGAGCTGGAGGCCATTATCTTTAGCAAACTAACACAGGAACAGAAAATTAAATGCCACATGTTCTCATTGACAAGTGGGAGCTAAATGAGGAGAACAAATAAACAGAGGGGAACAACACACACTGGGGCCTTTCAGAGGGTGGAGAGTGAGGGGAGGGAGAAGATCAGAAAAAATAACTAACGGTTACTAGGCTTAATACCTAGATGGTCAAATAATATGTGCAACAAACCCCCATAATACAAGTTTATCTATGTAACAAACCTGATTTGTATCCATGAACCTAAAAGTTAAAAATAAAATGCGAATGAAATAAGGTGGAGCTTTTGAAAGTAATATCACAAATTTTCTCAACATTACGCCAAAAGTCATTAGATTCCACTTCACTTGTTTAAATCTCTCAGTCAGATATGTTCACCTTGTCTTTATTTCACACAATTTTTCTAGAGTATAGAATTCCATTTTATCAAAGTATCACTTTTAAAAGTCAACAATTCCTTTAAATATTCCTGTGTTTTCAACTACAAATTGAAATGCTAAAAGATTTTACTAATGAAAATCCCCATACAGTAACATTGAAATTCTACCAAAAAAAACCTATGCCGATATATGCAAAATATTCATACACATTACCTAAGCCACAGTTAATAAAAATGTAAATCCAGTAAAAGTTTCTAATAATTCTGCTTAATTAAAATTTTACCCCTGTATAATGAATTATTAGGAAATACTGTATTTTCTTATTTCTTCTTACCAACACCTAAATGGCATGGTTCTCTCCTCACCTATGCCCCACTATTACCTTATTAATAAGTTATTTGTATTTCTGACAAGGTAAATTAAAACCAAGTTTTTGTGTTATTCTGCCCTTCTTTTCACCCTTAACCTGAACTTGGCATTATGACAATTGGAAAGGAGGAGAATTACGTCAGCTCTTCTTTGAACTTTTGAGACCCTTTCAATTTCCTCTGGTGCTTCATTCATCTTCAGTTACTTTCTTTGGCTCATGACGGAAAGTAACCAGCAAGATAGGGCAAACGAGTTATAAGAGATTTAACCTTGAATCATTAAAACCAACACTTGAGCTTCTAAGGTAAATTTCAGAACGATACATTAAATTCCAGTGCTTGGTACCAGTGATTTTGTTCTGACAAGCAAGAATATTATAACTTGGAATCTCCATAGTGCCTTTTTTTTTAACTTTTCTCTTTGAATTAAACACCTTTTTGCACATCTGCTCAGCTGGTAAGCCCTCTACAACAGATACTTGAAGTAGAAATTTTTCCTGTCCAAATTTGAGTGTTACCTGTATTTGTTGCCCAAGTTGTTCTGTGGATCGATATAAACTTCAACTGTGCTTCTTCCTATAAATCTCTCATTTCCTCAAATTTGAATATTTTGTGTAGTAAGTTAACTGTTATAACTTTAAGGGCAAATATTCTTCTGTGCAAATAGTATCCTTGTATTAGGAAAATTTTACTGCTAACCTCTTTAAATGGATGTCTTGATAGTATTTGTAAACTTCAGCATGCTTTTAAAATTGGCCCTCTTTCTCCTTTATTTAAAGGACAAACACGTTGCCATTGATCTTCTCTTTCTTTTCCCTTCCAGATGGACTGTTATTTGAGTGCAATATCAAATGTTTGACTTTGTGTAAAACAATGATCCGGTGCCTCACTAAGTTTTTTTTTTCCACTTTCCAAAAATCTCAACCATAGTTTTTGTTTCACTTACAAAGTTGCCATGTTTATTTCTGGTAGTTTTCCCTCTGTCTCTTATTAAACTTGACTCCAATTTGGGTGGTTCCATGAAGGATGAGTTTTGGGGTTTGTATTAACTTCGTTGAGTTTTTCCTCTACCTGATATTATTAAGGTAGAAAATTCTTCATGTGATACAGGCATGAGTTTCCATTTATCTTTGTTTGTTAACTAACTCTACTCCACTTCCTGTGGGTTAATTCATGCCCTGTGGCTAAAATCTGAAATCAGACTTACCTAATATTATTTGGGAGTCTTTAGCCAGGACAGACAACCACAGAAGCATCTCTGGATGCTCTGGAGACAAGGCAAACAGATTACTATGGTTAGAGTTTTCATTCTTTTCCATTTATCCCCTTTCTCATCCCTTCCTCACTGCCCTTCACCCCCACCCCACCCCCGACAAACAAACACACACAAAACAAGAGTTTATTTGGGAGTAATTTATAGAATGGTTCTCAGGGTGGTACAACATTAAGCCCTTCTTAATGTTTATCCTGCCAAAGCTGCCTTTTTTTGCTCCTGTAAGTTGGTGAAGATAGAAATGAAGAAGAGAAAAAGAAAGGAAGGAAGATTAGAGGAAAGGAAGGAAAGGGAAAAGAAATAGAATCTGGGCAGCCAGTCCTGTAACACTCAGATCTGTCTGACACTCACTGCCAATGTAAAATCTAAAATCTAAAAACATACGCATCTTTTAATGGGAAGTCATCTTGATCCTAAGAAAAAAATCTCCTATCACCACCAAATTTAGATTCTCATTAATTGGATATTTTGGTTTTAATCTATTTCCAACAGAAGGGTTTACCTTTGCAAAAGTAAGATATTGGCTTAAGATTCTGAAGTCCCTTTCACAAATCTTGTCAAAGCAAACCAAAGGTAGAGATGGATGGGCAGGATAAAAATCCTGGAGGTTCTCCACATCTCCTAATGATTCATGTGTGAAAAGCAGAGTAGATAGTCCAGGAAAATCATGCTATAATTATTAGTTTTGAAACCTACATGTGAGCAGCACAAAGTGATCTGTACTATTATTGCCTTAAATTCTATGCATTTTCCATCCTTGAGCCCTAGCAAGATTATAGAGAGAAGAGGTAAGGTCATTTTTTTTTTTTTTTTTAGATTCAGCCCGATCTTCCCCATCACACTGATAGACATATAAGTGTAAGCCCCAATCTTCCCCATCACACTGACAAACACATAAGTGTTACATAGATAAATTACAGAAAAAAAATGGAAATTTATGTACAAAACAATTCATTCTGTTTCTTTCTAAATTCTGATGGCTCATTCCAGACAATGGTGTGTTTTTCTTGGGTATTGTTCATATCTATGAAACAAAACACTTTAGGTAAATATGTAAAATAAAAAACAGTCTATTATATTTCTCAACTTGAGTACTCTGAAAATTTATTTCCATAGTAAAAATGGATGGAAATGAGGTAAGTATATTAATTTTAGTATTAATTTCACTCTTTCACTTACCAAGTCACTAGTGATAAATTCTTAATGTATGGTCATTCTTAAAGATCACAGAAACTGATAGGAGGAGTACACAAGCACATCAGATTAATATAAGGTAGAATCAATAATAGAAGCGTATCACACAGGAGCTAGAAAGTTATGTGCTTCAATCTCATTTTATAATAATAAAAACAAGATCTCAAATAATAACACTAACTAGTCATAGTTAAACCACTAATGAAGTGACCAAAGCTAGGGGTAAAGTCTGTCTTTTGACTTCCAGTCTGGTATTCTTTTCCATTCTATCATAAAAGAGGTATTATCTTGGGCTACATTTTTCTGTGCCTAGGAAATCCCTAACCTTAAGAGACCAAGAACACCTCCCACAACTGAAATTGAAAATGCAAGAAATTTTGTAACTTTCTAGGCAGGAAAGGCAAGAATGCATGAAATCAGCAGCCAGATATTCACCCTTCACGGATTTTAAAATAGAAACAAGTGAGGCAAGGAAAGCAAGGGTTTACAGACCTCAGTCTGGTAAGCCAGTGTCAGCAGTCACAGTCATGTCCTGGTTTTGACATAATTGTCAAGTGGTTCTGGAAGCAATGCCCACAGTCCATCTAATGACAGTGGGTTCACAGTGAAAACTGCAGGATTTGTGTCCACTGGTGGTGGCAATAATGTCTTCACAGAGCCAATTTGAAGACCTAATTTTGGGTGTGTTCAAGACACAGAGCAGAGAGGAAAGGAGAGAGATGGCCCAAGAATAAACAATCAAAGGTCATGCAACTTTCTGCCTCAGCCTAGATACCTTGTGTTTTCCTTGTCAAGCAGGTCTCAGGACACCTTTAGCCATAGGGCCTCCTATAAGCTGTAAATGGGTTGGAGTGTGTAGCATGAACAGTCATTAATTCCATCAGATCATGAGACATGGGACTTGGTAACAAGGGGGAGAGTTAGTCATGTTTTTTTCTTATTTTTTATGTTTATTTTCTTTTCAAATGTAAATTTATAAACTAGTTAAAAATTATGACTTCAAAAATAAGAGAAAAAAAATAATTTATATCTGGCTGTAAATATATAATGAATCTGGGTAGGATGGGGAATATCAAACTACTTTTTAAAATCCATAGTTCAGACTACAAACACTGAGATTAAGCAACTCAAATGTGTACTGAGTGTTTTATTTGCCATTTACAGAACTGTTCCAAGCAAATGACTTCCATGAATCCAACTTGCTTAAAATAGAAGTTTAAAAGATCTGGACCTTGAAGCAAGTCCTTGCTTTCTGTTGTGTTTTGTTGCTATGCACTGGTGTAAACAGTTGCTATGTTTCATGGAAGGTGTTAATGCCACATCTATTGGGAATTAAAACCATTCTCTGTGACAGTAATTGTTATACCTTCCAAAATAGCATCACTGTCTCCAACTCCTGTGGGATTTCTGAAAAAGTAATTTTTTATCTGAAAAAGTGTGGCTTTCCTGCTTAGAAAACTGGAGCCTTGAATTTCCCTATTTGAAATGAGTTTATATATTGGCTTTAACAGATCCTACCCATAGGAACACAAATTAGTTCAACTATTGTGAAAGACAGTGTGGCGATTCCTCAAGGAACCAGAAATGCCATTTGACCCAGCAATCCCATTATTGGGTATATACCCAAAGGATTATAAATCATTCTATTATAAAGATACATGCACATGTATGTTTATTGCAGCATTATTCACAATAGCAAAGACATGGAACCAACCCAAATGCCTATGGATGATAGACTGGATAAAGAAAATGTGGTACATATATACCATGGAATACTATGCAGCCATAAAAAGGAACGAGATCATATCCTTTGCAGGGACATAGATAAAGCTGGAAGCCATCATCCTCAACAAACACAAGAACAGAAAACCAAACGCCACATGTTCTCACTCATAAGTGGGAACTGGACAATGAGAACAAATGGACACAGGGACAGGAACAACACACACACTGGGACCTGTCAGGGGAAGGGGAGGGGAGGGAGAGCATCAGGACAAATAGGTAATGCATGCGGGGCTCAATACCTAGGTGACAGGTTGACAGGTGCACCAAACCTCCGTGGCACACATTTACCTATGTAACAAACCTGCACATTCTGCACATGTATCCCAGAACTTAAAGTAAAATTAAAAAAAAAAATAGATCAGTGAAAGCAAAATTTATACTAAATACATATATGATTACAATTATCCACACTTGTGCAAATCTGGTATCTTTCCCTTAAACTTTGATTTTTGTGATTTCAATTTTATTTAATGTCTTAGGTTTGGTTTTTAAAAATATCTTCTACAGTGCTTAATGCAGTATCTTGCATGTAGGTGTTTAATTATTAGCTAGAGTCAATAAAGTCTTGATATAAAATATCAATCCATTATCAAAGTCATATTCAACTACCATTTCATCAAATTTCCAGTTATGAGATGCTAAAACAATGAATATGATCAATGTTTGACAAGTCATATATTCAAATTTTCTACATTAGCAAGTCTAAGACATAACATGAACCACAAATCATGAATATTTGCCATCTTTTGTTCCAAAAGGAGTCTTCTGGAATTATATTGAATAAATTTGGATTCTACATTGCTCATTTAATAATATTCACCTTCGTTTTATTATTCTGGCTTTACTTTACCTATGTATAAATTTCAACGCTGTAGTGTTGTCTGTTGGATAAGTTAAGAAATATATAAATTGAAAATGATTTTAATAAAACAAGAGATCTTATTAAATATGTTAGGAATTTTATATATTTTGATATCCAAATTATACTTACCATAGTAAAAGAAAATTGACAAATACATAATAAAAATAGACATCTTATTAAATAAATTATTAAACAAAAATGGAAGTTAGAAGACAACATCATTTATTAAACCATGACTATTTCAAGCTGTTTTCCTCATATTATCAAATCATCCTTCTGAGTTAGGTGTTAAAAACATTAGGATATAATAGAAAAGGTATAAGTTCACAGTTTCACAACAGTAAGGAGTTGAGCAAGTATTAAAATGTGTTTTCACTCAACTGTGCCTTAGTGGTTTGCTTGCAGAATTTAATGAATATCACATATGGACAATACATATAGAAATTATTTACTGTCATTCCAACAATTCCACCACTTTTAATTTAGTTATGCTAAATAGAGTATAATATTTCATTCCCTAGTCACTTCGAGAGACAAAAGAAAATTATCTGTTCCCAAAATAACTATAAGAAGTGTGTAAGTTCCCACAAAGAATGGTCTCTATCTGAAATTTTGTAAGAATAAAGCTTCCTCAAGGAAAACATTCCCAGTTAAACTGGACTTGTGCTATTTTAAAATCATATGATTTATCCATTTAATACCATCTTTCTATGTGTTAAGTATGAAAAGACAAAGACTTGCTGGATGCGAGTCTGTCAGCACTCCATGAGCAGCTATAGGCCTTGACACTGTGGCTGCAGGGGCACAGAGTGACACAGGGAATGTAGAGGCCCAGATGCTAAATGGATAAGAATATTTTGGTTATCTTTTGCAGGTAGATATCACAAACTTATTTTAATCGATAACTAAGCTAGATATTGATGCCACTAATATATAATGAGCAGCAACTATATGTGAGGTCTTATGTAAATAATTCTCTAATCTTTCTTGTCTATTAGAGCTAGCAACTGACCAATAAGGAGCGGGCATGGCAAATAATAAAGATATATAATCATGAGAGCAATAATTGTAACCAGAAACCAAAGGAGCTTCACATATCTTGGCACCTGCCTGTCACTTTTTTAAAATTTCTTATTGTTTTAATTTTGTTTTTTAGAGACAGGATCTTGCTCTGCAGCCCAGGTTGGAATGCAATGGTGCAATCATGGCTCACTGCAGCCTCAAACTCCTGGGCTCCAGCAATCCTCCCATATAAGCCTCCTGAGTAGCTAGGACAACAGACGCATGCCACCACATCTGGTCAATTTTTCAATTTTTTGTAGAGACGAAGTCTCAGTATGTTGCCAAGGCTGGTCTCCAACTCATTGCCTCAAGAGATCCTCCTGCCTTGGCCTCCCAAAGTGTTGGGATTATAAGCATGAACCACCATGCCCAGCCCGTGTCACTCCTTACTTTCCACAGTGGTCCGTGCCTGCAGTAAGCACTTCTGCTGGATTCTCACATCCTTTCCCACAATGCTGTGCCCCTTCCTTAGCGTTCCTGGTCTTGAACTCTGCTCTAATCTTCCTCCCTCAATTTTTCATGATTTAAACTTCCAAATCCATCAGGATACTCCATGTATTACCAACAGAGATGGCGTTAGCATAGGCCAGACAACCCTTTTTTCATCCGGAAAAATAAAACTGTCTCAGAAACACACAGGAGTACAACTTCCACAGTTTTGAGTATTGGAGTCTGAAATGAGAACACATGGTGATCGAGGTTTGTGAGGATGGGACTGCCAAGAGTATTCCCTTTTGAGGTCCCTCCACCATTGTGTGGTAAAGGTATGTTATCTCCTATTTCCCATGGTCTACAGTTTTCACATTCTTGTCCTGGACACACACAGACACACATACACATACATACTAAAATGCCCATCACATAGGTATACATCTTCAAGAAACTTTTCTCCAAGACATTATGGTCAAATTAAGGTAAAAATGTCTTTCTCTAGAAGGCAATCAAGCCTTGGAAATTGTTCTTGCCTAAAAAGGTAGATGAGAATTTGTACATTTTTATAAAGGATATGTTTGTCTTCTTTCTGTATTAATAGCTACGTCCACATGACATATTAGTGCATAGAAACCAAAGTCGTTAAAGTGCCTGCTCTGAAGTCCTTTACTCAGCTACCCTAACCCATCCAGAATGCAAAATAAGTTGTGTTTGAGCTCTTCATTTTATTCCATTAGGTAATAAACCTTAGTATACAGGTTTTGATGCATACATTCAACATACATGTCGGTCTTCAGTTAAAATAACTTAGGATCACAGAATAGATTAATTTATTTATTCTCATTTATCTAACAAACCCAGAAATAAGATATTTGATGATCTCTTTCCAAATTACCTTTCTAGGTAATACTCTTAGAAAATTTCTTAAATTTCCTGGGACAAGCATGTAAGACTATTTTATATTCTAACTTTTCTCTGACTTCTTTTTCTAGCCTTCTCCTGCTCTGTGCCCTAGAATTATATTAATTCAAGTCTCAATTTCTTTTATGTAGTCTCCACCGTATCTAAATTCTCCCCCTTACTTTACAAAAAAGGCACTCTCATCCTGTGTGCCACCATGGAGGGTCTATCATAGCCCTAAACTATGATTTCACTTAGTTAGTGTCATGTTTTACTGTTGGGCTGTATTCTACCTGATTTCACAGGAAATGACCATTTTCTCCTTGCATTTCCAGGAATTACCACAGGGTCTAGCACATTATAGGTGTTCAATAAATGTTTAAAGAATAAATAATATTATATAATAAGTTTCAAAAAGTTTTCATATTCCTTTGCATTCATGAAAAAAAAATGGAGCTTAAAACAAGCAGGTAGTTTATATGGAAGCAATCTAAGGGAGAAAAAGTGAAGCAACAGGGCTAGTAAGACAGATTCAGGAGAAGAGTCAATACAAGGTTGAGCTTTTTACATCTTGTCAGCCGAGACCCACATAGAATATTTCAGAAAATTGTCCCTCCAAGCTTTCAGGCTGCATTTCCATGTGGGCTGAACAGAATCCTGAGAAGTACCTGAGGCAGAAAATTAGAGAAATATGTGTTGAGCATGTGATGTGGGATGCTATCAGCAAACATGGGATTTTTCTAATGCAGCTGCAGTTCACATCAGAGGTGGGCCTGAGGAAAATACATGAGGTATCAAAAGCACATGCTAAAATTTCATTAAAAATGGGGTTCAGATATCTTATTCAGATATGTGATGGCTTCTAAGTGCCAGGTATAAAACCATTGTTTCTATCTTTTCTTTTACCAACATATGTTGAGATGTTTACGTGTTTTCACAACACCAAAATGCAAGTAAACTCAATGCAAAGTTATACAGTCCTTTACCTAAATCAATTTACAAAACTATATTGAATATCTAAAATATTAATCCTTTCAACTAATTCTTATGCATTGTATAAGTGCACAACCAGAGATTGAAAATTGAATGTGGCTAGCTAAAGCACCTGGCCTGAGCTTGGTTTATAAAGCTCTCTAAACGGGACATTCTACTTCTAATATTATTGAATGGTTTGAATAATTGCATTAGATTTGTATAAAGTAGTGTCAGTCAATCTTTTATTTAATCACTGCCTAATACTCTTCATAAAATTCAGAAAATAATGTGACATATATTTTTTTAAGATTAACCACATCCTCCCTTTGTTAAACAAATTTGAAGCTCTACATTTTTTATGTTTTATTCTGCAGGAGTAAAATAAACCACATTCTAGGCATCAAGACCTATTGAATATGGGTTAAATTGTTCTCTGGGTTCTAATTATATTGACTACATAAATATAATATACATTGTGTTCCTGAGAGCGTATCCTATGCTATTATAAACATATAAACAGCAATAGCATAATTGGCTCACAATATCCTATGAAATCAGAAGATTTCATCTAAACTTCAATGAATCATGCTTTCTTTTGTAATTGCATAACTAATTTAAGAAGCATAGATCTAGAGGATAGTTTTTTCAATTCAAAATACATCTTGTTTTCAGAATGGGAGATGGATGATGATAATGCTCTTTGCTTATACCAATTATCCCACAGGTTTTCTTTCTCTGGTTTGCACAACTGAGAAACAAATCTATCAGGTAGTTACCTAAGAACTATTCCCACCTTATTCCCTTCTAATTTAATTCATTATCCTCCCTCTTTTGCAAAGCCAGGGTCTTCACACACAATGAGAATATCCCCAGACTCAGAGAGTAAACCATGACTCTTTTAAGTCAATACCAATGTTTCTTTATTGTTACCTGCAATTAGTTTGGCCTTGGACATGTGAAAATATAATAAGCAGATTTTTGTTAATCTTATGCATTGTCTGAGTCTTGTAGAAGGAAGCTATAGTGAAGTATAGTTCAAAGTAATTCTAAACCAGAAGAAATTAGAAAATACTAAGAAAAATTTAAGCCAGAACGTTGGAGAAAAAAAAGATATCTTTCAACTGTAAAATACCAATAAGTTTTCCTATGCTATTTTGCATTGCCATTTATTTTCTCTTTGTTTAGGAATACTGTCTCTCAATGACTCTATTATCCATAAACAAAAAAGTACAATGAGGAAATCAATATATCACAGTCTTGAACAACATAGAGGTAATGTTTAAATTATGTTGAAAAATATCTATCTTCTCCCAGATAAACTTTTGCATTTTGGAAACTCTCTTCAGATCTGGAGTTGCTTCAGTGAGTAATGTTGACCTTAAACTTAAGGAAGTCAGTAGACTCTGTATTTTAAAGAAGGGTTCAGGAGAAGTTACATAGCAAAGACCATGATGCTTTATAGCAGTCCTGGGGGAAAGACACTACCAACTTGCCCAGTGAATCTCTTTATCCTTTTGGCAAAGCCCAGGAAATCAGAGTGGAGATTTGGCTTCACCAATTTTCTAACTAAAATACGTGAGTTATAGAAACCTAAAGCTTTTGATTCAAAAGAGAAATCGTTTCCAAGCTCTGATCTCCTACCCATGGATTTGTCAGGGAAACACAATATAACATTTTTGAAGTTAGGAATTAATTTTCAGTAGGAGTTCTAATAAATTACGTATCTCTGTACAAATATATTACAATTAATAACAGTTGATCCTAGTTAGGATAATGGATTGTAATCAAAGATTTATTCATCTGAGATTAGAAAAATTTCTAATCTGAGAAGACCTTAGGGATTATACTGCCCAATGCTGTAATTTAATGAATGAAGAAATTGCAATCAAAGAGTTTAAGTGATTTTCCCAATGTCAGACCTAAAGAGTGTCAGAATCATGACTAGAACCTATTTTTTACCACTTAGTCTTATGCTCCATATATTAAAACATCCTACCTCTTGTTTTCATAATCATCAGTAAATGATTGACTCATTGATTGAATCATTAATGATTGAATCATTGATGGCTCAGGGTACATTTTTACTTGTGCATTTGTTATATGAAAATGGCATGCTTAATTTCAGAACCCTAAAATGAAGTGTTCTCTCTGAAGTGAAGAAATAATCTGCACTGATATCTTGTGGTTGTTTCCTACCAACAGGATCAAAAACATCTTGTGATACGGTTTGTTTTTGGATCTGTGTTCCCACCCAAATCTCATGTCAATTGTAATCCCCAGTGTTGGAAGTAGGGCCTGGTGGAAGGTGATAGGATCATGGGGGTTGGATTCCCCCCTTGGTGCTGCTCTAGTGATAGTGAGTAGGTGCTCACAAGATCTGGTTGTTTAAAAGTGTGTAGCACGTTTGCCATCTCATCTCTCTCTTTTCCTCCTGTTTTAGCCATGTGAAGATGTGCCTGCTTCCCATTTGCCTTCCACCATGATTGTATGTTTCCAGAGGCCACCCCAGACATGCTTCCCGTATAGCCTGTGGAACCATGCACCAATTAAATCTCTTTTCTTTACAAATTACCCAGTCTCAGGTATTTCTTCATAGCAGTGCAAGAACAGAATATCTTGTTTCTGATTATGTAAAGTTTTATTAAACAGGCTTATCACACAAGTTTTTAATTAGTCTTAGAGTGAATGCAATTATTATGTATTTTTCTTGTTTACAATAAACATATTGTTGCAACATTTACAGATTTTCTAAAGAACGATCTTTTCCAAAACTCTAATAATATAACATGAAAATTGTTACTGACCAATGTTCAAGGGCCACAATTTGCTTTAAGTAAAATTTCAGTACTCCTTTCATTTTAGTAATCTGGAAACTATATAAACTCTATGTTTAATTGTTATTTGTTCATCATTTTGATGGCTCAATGTTTAATTGCTACTATTCCTTGATGTATATCATGTACAATTCCAGAATATCAAACTATAATAGTAAGTATCCAAGATATTTTAATCCCTGTTTACTGTAATTCTATACCAATTTCATTTCTTATAGATTAGTGTTATATTTTCTGTCATCATAATATAGCCGTGAACTTTCTAATTATTAATATTTATCCTGTAATAATTTCAGGAAGCCCACCAATCCATATATTTCTTTTTAGTGAGAAATACTATAATTATAAAATATCTTACTTAATAAAAACTCTAGGTCCATTTTATCTCAATATAGGCATCATCCTATCTCTAACAATCTGATAGGTGGTTATCCACAATCAGGTTAATTTCAGATTCCATGCTGTTCTAATTGTTAGAAAAGTACTTGCTCTTATGGAATTAAATTTCTCATCATAATTCAATGCAATGGATTTAGTTTGGTATTCGAGGTAACAGAATAAGTCTACCATTTTTTTTTCAAAGTGATGGATTTTTTTGTTTATTTTCAATGTTAGGCATTATTTATATTATACTTGCATTTTCTCTTTTCCAGGCCCTGACATCATGATGATGATGATAATACCTGATATTTACAGAGCACCTACTATGTACCAGAAATGACTCATTGTCTTCTATAAGCTTTAGTTGATTTAATTTCCCCCAACATACCTGCAAAGGTGACATCAATATCTCAGTTTAACATACGAGAAAACTGGGACTCAGTCTCTAAAAGTTATACCAGCTAGCAAGTGGCAAGCAAGAAGCAAACTTGTGTTTCTCTAGCATTAGAGTCAAATTCTTCCCACCACATATTCTGCCTTTTACTCTACGTCATGTTTTTTTTAATCTATTGTTCTTACGACAGAAGTCATCATTGGAGTTCTTCACTCTCCGTGCTCCTATTTTTTAAGCTTTTTCTTTCTCTTGGGCTGGTATTTTTGCTGTATAATCCATTTATTTATATATTGATATTGCTACTCTAATAAAGAATTCCATTTTAGTAAAACTTTCAGCTTTCAACACAAAGATGCTGTTAAAAAAATAAGAGTTGCTGGGCCCTGTTCTAACTAGCTTTTCCAAAACCTCAGTTATTCTTTTATGTTGTACATATTTAAGGACTTTTCAGTAAGTACCCCCAATCTCCCCCAAATACCAATGTGGTTACTGTGGAGACATAAATGTAAGTTAGAAAGCAGTCAGGCCCCTAATTGATACCGACAGTCAATTAGTGCTTCAAAGCAGCTGGCTCAGTTTTTGCATATAGAGAACATGAGAGAAAGAGTATAGTTTGTTGTGGCGTAATCTCTGTTGCTTCATTGTGGACAAGAGCTATATATGCTACTGGATGGTTTCTACAGAAAACTAAGCAAGTTTCTCACTGGTTGCTAATGGGATGGTAGCATTATGGGAAACAATGATATTGTGTGATTTGAACCCATTAGTGTTCCCTTTCTAAAGTTCCAGACTTGAACCAACTCCGACTCTGTTCAGGTCAAAAGTCTTCTTAATCTCTGTGTTGTGCTGATCAAACCTCAAACTGTCGGGTCAAATTATTTCCATTGGGCCAGTTCTATTTGTGATTAATTAAAATTTCTTCTTGATTGCATACAGTTCTTTTAAATGTATAATCCCTTTATTGTGTAGCGAATTGAGAATATGGTCCTAATTTAAAAACAAATATTCATGTGGGCCCCTCAGTATGATGTAAGCCACCAATTTCAGTAAAGTAAAAAAAAATAAAAATAAAACATTTTACTATTTTTGCATGAGTGTCTGAGTGCAATAACAAAGAGAAAAATTATACCTGACTTGCCTATCATTGTAGATTGCAAGAATTAATTAAAGGGAAAAAATACTTTATATAAATAGAATGCATGTGTATTTTTATCCAGAGGTATTTTAGTGTTAAAAATATATAAAAGGTGAGACTATATGGAAAAATTTAAAAGGTGTCAGACCTTTTTCTCATTAGACTATAGGCATTCAGAAATTCAGGTTAATTTTCCTTAAGGTTAATCTATAATTTTAATACCAAATTAGTCTGAAGTTTCTCGCTTTCTCTCTGTATAATTTTGTTGTGATTTACTATATGATTTTTATGTTGTGTTTATTATGAGGAATAGGATAGGATACCTTTGTTATTTTATACATTTTCTCCCTGCCAAGGAAATACAGAATCTGTATGAGTTAAAGTGTTTGACACAAATCTTATATTACCAAGAAGGTTGTGAAACATTAACCCTTTACAAAAATAAACTTGACTTTTCTCACCACAAAGGGCTCTCCCAAGGCGGGAGGTGGTGTCGGGGGGTGAAATATATATATGTAAATAAAGCAGTTGAAGCAAACAGTCTGGAGAGCTACAGTGTATTACTGAGAACTGCTAAGTTGGCAATGGGCCAAGTGGTGGGGCAACCTTTGAGTCTCTGTGTGAAGGGTAGTGAGGAAAGAGATGAAAAGAAAAAAAAAACAGAAAAGGAAAGACAAAAGGCAGGAAGAGGTGGAGAAGCGACTCTCAGAAAGGGACTAGCAATCAAAGAAATCTGGGAGATTCTTAAGGCCTGAGAAAAGGAAAGCTTATGAAAGGCTGGCGAGCTCTAAGATGAAAGAGGAAGGAGAGGGCTCTATTTGTAGATGTGCTAGCAAAGTGCCTGGTGGGTCTGCAGAGGAAAGCAGAGGTCACGTGAACCTCTGCCAGGAACTCAACCCTTTTCTCCTGCCAAGGCTGGTCACTGGCCCAAGTTGAGTGCAAAATGATAATATATAAAAGGAGTGCAGAGTACATTTGTGATAAGACCTATCATAGAAAATAGTCTGGCATTTTAATTAAACATCAACAAAGATTATTTGCCTGGCCATACGCTAGTCAGTCTTCGGAAACTTCTCCTAGGCCCATCTCTGTACTTCCTTGTAAAATTCAGTTTGAGCAAAGAATCTTGGTAAGTTAGTTTAGTAAGAATCCCAGAGCCCCATCCTTGATATATGATCATCTTCAATGTCTAATCAGGTTCTTCGTCATCCACCATCCCCCAAATAATGTCTGATCACTCTAGCCTGTCTTCAGCAAAAATCCTGTTAGGTCAGTTTAACCAGAATCCCCCTTATCCTTGAAGTTTCCTCTTGGTATTTGTTCATCCACTGATCCCCGAATCTGCACCTTGTCTATGAATTCTCACTTGTCCACACTATATTGAGAGTTGAACTCACACTCCCCAACTGCAAGACCCTATTGCAGTGGTCCCTATACCTATCCCCATGGTCCTGAATGAAGTCTCCCTTACCATAGTTTAGCAAGTATCATTGGGTAATTTTTCTTTAGCAATGTCATATGCCCCCAAGTTGAGTAGTTCTGAAGCCCAAAAGTAAAAGAGCCTTGTCTAGGCAAATCAAAGTTTTGAGTAAAGGAGAATCTACTCATAATCTTTGCACTGAGACATTGCCATGGCCCCATGATGCACAATATATTAACATTATGAAAGAAATTGAGAAGGGAGTAATGTTTGGCTAGATTATCGGATAATCTATTCATAACGGAACCCAAGAGGGCTCTGCCACTTGCTAGTTTTGATACCTTGAGGATGTTACTTAACCTCTCAGTACTTTCATATGTTCATGTGTAAGATGTATATTTAAGAGTGTCGAACTCATAGGGTTAATTAGATGAGTTAATATTTGTAAAGCATTTAGAGAAGAGTATGGCACACGATAATATAGTGGTTTATTTGATTTAATTAAATAATAAAGTTAGTTTTCCATAAAATTAACTTCTTTTCTCTATAATTTATACACCTATGCAAACACAACAGTTTCTTTACAGGGCATTATATTTATTTTTTCCTTCCAAATTCTTATCCAAAAGGACTTCCTGGCTTCACTGAAATGCAACTCTACCTTTCCTTAAAAATAAAAATATTTAAATAGAAGAAAAAAACTTTCTAAAACATAAAGTCTTAAGTAATCACCCTGTACTGCAGACTTCAGCCTGAAATTAGCACAAAGACATCTTTAAAAATGGAAAACTTGCTTCGTGCCATTCTTTGTTCCAAGTGTGAAGTCTTCTGTAGTACCTGCTTGCTTTTGTCTACTCTCTAATACCCTTGGATAGTTTTAAAAATATTTTGTCCAAAGTGTATAGTTATATCAATGAGAGATTGGTCCAGTAGAAACTTATCTGGCCTCCATTGGAAGCAAAGAACTCTGCATTCTATTCTAATATGATCGAGTGGAAGGGATAGGACCCTTTTTTTTTCATATGTCTGGTGACCATTTATTGTCAACTTACACGTATAAATTAGGCATTAAAGCTGAGTACAAGTTCTAAGAGTATGGAATATGTTGCCAATGGGCAACAAACTGATGTCCAACCTATGTTTTGGAAATTTCCAAACATCAGATTGTGGAGGTATTTTCTCCAGAACATTAAACTTCTTCAGAGAAAGACCTTTTAATTACCAGTCTGTTGTATTGCTGGGCTACCAGCAAATGTGACATAGGTGTGGAAAGGGAGCTATAAGTCTTAATGTTTAGGATATAGACATTGATATGTCTTCATATTTTTACTTAGACATTTATGTCTACCCTCCTCTCTGTCTAGAGAAACTGATTTTATGGTAATCCAAGTGAAATTTCTCTAGATAAAATATATAATCTCTCCTAGGGAAGGAATACATGCAAGCAATCTATACACATATGGTAAAGGTATCTGAAGGTCTAACTTCTTCTAATAAAAAATTTCAAATAATCTACTTGTTTCCAGCCCTTCTCCCCAGCTTTATGTTCCATGTTTTATTATCCTTACTATTCAATTTTCTATGATTTTAAAATAAATCAGCTACTGGTTTGATCCCCCTCTGTAAGCATTTACCTTTGACCTTCTTTTGCTTTGTAGTATCATTTACCTTTTCCATCTCATTTTCATTTTAAACTTGGGGGGATTATAGATCTTGACAAATTGTAGCAAATATGTCATTTGTTGTTGTGTTTCTTCACTTTTTTACAAGGGTAATTTTTTAAAGAAGCAGGTAGATACATTTTGCTATTTCAAAACTCCTTTTGGTATACTTTTAATCAACAATGTAGTTGATTCAATAAACTGAACTACTTTTGAGAAATTAATGAAATTCTAGTGTATGATTATTGACACAATTTTAAGTGAATTCCAACTTTTTCCATCATGGGTGCTGTTCAATCATGGGGCTGTCACTAGCCAAATCTCATCTTGAATTGTAATTCTCATGTGTCAGGAGAGGGGCCTAGTGGGAGGTAATAGGATCAGGGGGGCAGTTTCCCCCATCCTGTTCTAGTGATACTGAGGTCTCATAAGATCTGATGGTTTAAAGGTGTGGCACTTACCCCCTTGCTCTCTTTCTCTCCTGTCACTATGACTTGCTATCCCTTTGCCTTCCACCATGATTGTAAGTTTCTTGGGGCCTCCATAACCATGTGGAACTGTGAGTCGATTAATCCTCTTTTCATTATAAATTACCCAGTCTCAGGTAGTTCTTTATAGAAGTATGAAAATGACTAATACAGAAAACTGGTACTGAGAGAAATGGGGCATTGCTATAAAGATACCTGAAAATGTGGAAGTGACTTTGGAACTGGGTAATGGGAAAAGGTTGGAATAGTTTGGGGGCTTAGAAGAAGACAGAAAGATGTGGAAAAGTTTGGAACTTTCTAGAGTTTTGTTGTGTGGTTTTGACCAAAATGCTGACAGTGATATGGACAATGAAGTCCAGGCTGAGATGGTCTCAGATAGAGATGAGAAATTTGTTGGAAATTGGAATAAAGGTGACTCTTGCTATGCTTTAGCAAAAAGACTGGTGGCATTTTGCCCCTGCACTAGAGATCTGTGGAACTTTAACCTTTAGAGAAATGATTTAAGTTCTCTAGCAGAAGACATTTCTAAGCAGCAAGCATTCAAGATGTGACCCGGCTTTTTCTGAAAGCATACAGTCATATGTGTTCACAAAGAGAGGGTCTGAAATGGAAACTTATGTTAAAAAGGAAGTAGAGTATATAAGTTTGGAAAACTTGCAGCATGACCATGTGGTGGAAAAGAAAAAAACATTTTCTGGGGAGAAATTTAAGCCGCTGGATACAGAAATTTGCAAAAGTAAAGAGAAGCAAAATGTTAATACCCAAGACAACGGGGAAAATGTCTGCAGGGCACTTTAGACATTTTCACAGCAGCCCCTCCCATCACAGTCCCAGAGGCTTAGAAGGGAAAAATGGTTTCATGGAGTGGGCTCAGGGGCCTACTGCTCTGTGCAGCCTCAGGACATGGCACCCTGCATCCCAGCTGCTCCAGCTCTAGCCATGGATAAAAGGGGCCAAGGTACAGCTTGGGCCATTGCTTCAGAGGGTGCAAGCTCCAAGCCTTGGAGGCTTCCATGTGGTGTTGGGCCTGAAGGTATGCAGAAGACAAGAGTTGAGGTTTGGGAACCTCCACCTAGATTTCGGAGGATGCATGAAAATGCTTGGATGTTCAGGCAGAAGTCTGCTGCAGGGTCAGAGCCCCCATGGAGAACCTCTGGTTATTTAAAAGTGTGTAGCACCTCCACCTTCACTCTCTTCCTCCTGCTCCAGCCACGTAAGACATAACTCCTTCCTCTTTGCCTTCTGCCATGACTGTAAGTTTTTTGAGGCCTCCTGAGCCATGCAGAACTATAAGTCAATTAATTTTCCTTTCTTTATAAATTATCCAGTTTCAGGTAGTTCTTTATAGCAGTTTGAAAATGGACTAATATAGGTTTCATACTATATTCAGTATTAACACATTATATTTTTTGGCCCAGAAACATCTAAGTATTTTTTCACTACAACTGCATACTGGTTATGATTTCAGGAAAGTATAAATTTAAATTAAGAGTGTAGACATCATGAATTGCAAAACAACATATAATCTCTGTCAAGAAGAAAGATGATATAAAATTTTACATCTTAGAAATATTATACTTATTTCTCACATAAAAAAGGAAAATAGGAAATAGATACAGTTTTAATTAGAACAAACTTTTAAAAATAAGAAAATTTCACATTTAAAAAAATCAAGCTATGATCTTGCCTGAAAAAAGCAGAGATCTGTCACATTGCTTCCCTATTCATAAATGGCGAGTCATTAGGAATTGAGTAACTAATGCCACCATTGGCCAGACATGTGCTTTTACTTCACCACAGTCTCCAGCCCTGTCTACAGAGTCTCTAAAACCCAGCCCATCTCAGATACTATATGCCTTGTCCTTACCGGGTAAAAACAATATCCTAACAAGCCACAAACTGGATATTTGTGTTTCCTCAACATTCTTTTGTTCAAATCCAGATCTCAAGGTAATGGTACTAGGAGGTGGGGTATCTGAGATGTGGATGGCAGAGCCCTCATAAATGGGACTAGTGCCTTTATTAAAGAGAGTCCAGAGAGATCTCTCCCCTGCCATGTGAGATTATAATGAACAATGGCCATCTCTGAAGCCAGCCCTCAACAGACTTCAAATCTGCCAACATCTTGATTTCAGATTTACAGCCTCTGGAACTTTGAGAAATAAATTTACACGGTTTATTAACTATCTAGTCTATGTTATTTTTGTCATAGAAGCCTGAAAAGACTAATACATGAAGTTAATCCATTCTATATAGAACTTTGTGCCTAGAATAGTTTTCCCAAGAGTAAATGAATCAGTAAACTTTGTAATACAATTGTATTACTGCAACAATTATGCTAACAGTTTTCAAAATATGGTAGACAGATAATAAGTGTTATTTAAAACTCCTCCAGATAGTTAGCTCCTCTTTGAGATTTTGTGTTTACATTATTAAAATTATTGCATGTTTCTTTCTGGTCTGAATAAATAGTTATGTATTTTACATAAAGCATATATCACATATTTAGTGTTTTATCAAAAGAATATACTTAAATGTAATAAGATCATCCATGTATCCCTTAGCTTGAGCTGACTTAAGTAGTGGCTACCTATATACAAATATTATGCTTACTGTGAAACTGCAATATTTTACAACACACCTTTTAATATTTGATGTCTTTAATATGTCTTACTCTGCAATATGTGTTTTCTTTTTTTCTTTTTTTGTTTGCTAAATGACTATTTAATGACTGCAGAAACACTTTTATTATATGATTGACTCACTTTGGAATAAATATTTAAACAGAAAAATTAAGCGTGCTTCACTTTCAATTGTGTTGAAACAATAAAGATTTTTGTCCTGAAAAACATCTAAAAGTTTGGAGAATGTTGAGCTAAGATTCATTTTCTAAAGGTGATAGCACAAACCACACATCACCTGACCACTTGGAGACATTAGTGTGATGCCTATGAGAGAAACAAAAGAACATAAGCCAAGTGAGCTCTAGAGAAATACTAATAATTAAGCACAAAGAGAAAAAGAGGAACCAACTATCTGGATAATTAGTAGTCTAAGAAGTAATCCATGTGAGTAAACCTCCTGGTAAGGAAAAAAAAACAAAGCAGGCTTATCAGAAGCATTTTAAAGCTGAATAAACCTTCAAACAATGTACACATTGTCAGTCTTTGCCTTATTTTCCCAGAGATGAGTTTCTTAGTCTTTTCCAAAAGCTAGACATGTAAATAATGCCATTTACTGCTTCTCAGTTTTATCATCAGTAAAATATCGCTTAAAAAAATGTATCTCATTGATCCAATAGCATGCCAAAAGCGCCTAGGATAGTGTCTAGCACTTAATTGGTATTCAAAAGATATCAGTCCCTCTCTAACCACCCTATCCCATGTTATGCCCCCTCAAGGTTCAGTCCACACCTGGAGCACCACTTGAAGGCTAATTCCAGTGTCACATTCTACCAGTATGAGAAAGAGCTTCAGGGCTGATCCACCTCATTGGATAATCTGGTTCAGAATGTAGGACTAGATGTGTGATCACAAATCCTGTGCTTTTCCTACATGTAAGCACTCTTCTTCTTCCTGTCTTAGAGTGGGGCTATCAAATCTAACTTTCCTATGGTGAAACCCTCCCTGTTCCCTTGTCTTCCTTGTCTCTGATTCAATTCCTAAAATTGGACTTTTCCCCTTACTCCATTCCCAGTTATCAAAAGCTTGAATGATGCCAGGAAGAGATAAATGTCTAAAATTCTCTTTAACCACTTAGGGAGAATTCTACCCAATAAACATTTTCCTCCAGCTCATAAAGCTGTCACCATTTTTTAAAGATAGCTAAAAAGCTTAAACTTCCCAGCACCCTCAAGCTGCTCTGCATGCCTCAAGGTACAAAAATCATGAAGCCAACCTGTGCGAGAAATATGTTATGGAACAAGTTGCTTTTGCATTGAATCTTTCATGTTTCCAGTCACAATTAATGTAACTATGCCCATTATCTCTTTCATGCCGAGCCACTTGCCAAAATGTCCTTCACTTTCTGTCATCCACCACTCTGAGCTGAAATAATCAATTAGAAAAATTCAGCTAATTTTTAAAAGCTGGAATCGCAATCCAAGTAATTTATTTTCTGTATCTTGATGACATTATTGAGTTATGAAACATTTAAACTTCTTTAGTCCTTGACCCCTCACCATGAGCAGCACAGAAAGACCATCCCCAAATAAGCTATATGTTCTTATTATCCTTCTACAGAGGATGACCTCTCTCTCAACAATATTCACTGTTTTCTCCCCAAACTTATTTTCATTTCAAATACCTTTAATTTGTATGCTCGACCCCTTTAATCACATTCCCTCCTTGCCTTAATAAAAATCTCCACTTTTTTAAAAAAGCATTAAGATATTGTTTAACACAGGTGCCTGTCAAGTGGACACTAATCATTCTCATCTTTCCACAGGCCATGGGATTCAAACGATTGGAATTAAGTGCACTTAGCTTTCAGTTGTGTTGAGACAACCAAGATTTTGTTCTAAACAACACCTGAAAGTTTTAATTCCAACTTATTGAAATTTAAACTATTTCACATGTGTTATTGTCATCT
This sequence comes from Homo sapiens, assembly GCF_000001405.40. Taxonomy (NCBI): domain Eukaryota; kingdom Metazoa; phylum Chordata; class Mammalia; order Primates; family Hominidae; genus Homo; species Homo sapiens. Next base: position 80,709,395 of record NC_000013.11, on the reverse strand, counting down.
TTTGATTTTCTACTCCCAGGCAAGAGTCCTTTGACTTTTGAGGCTCATGTCATCCCTCATCATGCTAATAATGACAAAAATGATTAAATTTAACTCATCATTTTACTAAATTTTAGAATGAAAAATCAAGGATATTATATATAGAAGATTTCTCAACAGTGAAACTATTGATATTTGTATCAGATCACTTTTTGATGCAGAAAATTCTTCTGTGCATTGTAGGAGGTTTAGCAGCTTCCCAGTCCTATACCATGTCAGTAGCAACTCTTCCCTCCCTCCTCAACTTTAGTAACAATTAATGATGTCTCCAGGCATTATCAAACATCCCCTGCATGAAAATTTCCTCTGGTTAAGAACTACTGGCATAAGGCAAATAACAAAAAAAAAAATTCCATTCTTTTCATCTGGGATTTATAAGACTGAACTAACACATTAATTCAGACTGCAGCTGCAGAGAGAAAAGGCAACAAAACCTTAAGTAATAAAACTTAAACATATAAATTTGAAACTGGAAATTTGGTAACAATAAGATTTGTAAAAAAAAAAAAAGCATTACAAAGTGTAGAAGCCTTCAGTTCAATGAATATGAAACTGAAGAATAAGTTCATTTCATAATTATACATTCATATAATTTATGCTTGGAAACACAAGTGGTTTTAATTTGGTTATTATCATTTGTCAGATACTGCAATGAAGAAATAGACAAGAAAAAAGCATAGAATTATTTAAATGACTTCAAATGTAATAGATTCAGAGAGGAATAAAATATATTGAATTGAAAAAGTAGCTTGAAAATGTCATAGCTCTAGGGCGCAAGATGGCCGAATAGGAACAGCTCCAGTCTACAGCTCCCTTTCCAACTGAGGTACCAGGTTCATCTCACTGGGGATTGTTGGACAGTGGGTGCAGGACAGTGGGTGCAGCACACGGAGCATGAGCCGAAGCAGGGCAAGGCATCGCCTCACCCGGGAAGTGCAAGGGGTCAGGGAATTCCCTTTCCTAGCCAAGGGAAGGGAGGAAAAACAGCACCTGGAAAATCGGGTCACTCCCACCCTAATACTGTGCTTTTCTGACAGTCTTAGCAAACGGCAGACCAGGAGATTATATCCTGTGCCTGGCTCGGAGGGTCCTATGCCCACGGAGCCTTGCTGATTGCTAGCACAGCAATCTGAGATCAAACTGAAACATGGCAGCGAGACTGGGGGAGGAGCATCTGCCATTGCTGAGGCTTGAATAGGTAAACAAAGCGGCTGCTAAGCTTGAACTGGGTGAAGCCCACTGCAGCTCAAGAAGGCCTGCCTGCCTCTGTAGAGTCCACCTCTTGGGGTAGGGCATAGCCGAACAAAAGGCAGCAGAAACCTCTGCAGACTTAAAAGTCCCTGTATGACAGCTGGAAGAGAGTGGTGGTTCTCCCAGCACGCAGCTTGAGATCTGAGCATCAACAGACTGCCTCCTCAACTGGGTCCTTGAACTCCGAGTAGGCTAACTGGGAGGAACCCCCCAGTAGGGGCAGAATGACACCTCACAAGGCCAGGGGAGAAGAGGGGCTGGCTCTCAGTACCCGCCTCGCGGGGGGTGCATCCCCACCCTGCAATGGGGGTCCTAAGAGCCAGGGGGGAAGAGGGGCAGGTTCTCAGTCCCCGCCTCGGAGGGGGGTGCCTCCCCCCACTCTGATGGGGGTCCTAAGAGCCAGGGGCGGAAGACGGGCTGGCTTTCAGTCCCCACTCTAGCGGGGGTTGCCTCCCGTTCCTGCAATGGGGGTCCTAAGAGCCAGGGTGGAAAGACGGGCTGGGTCTCAGTTCCCGCCTAGAGGGCGGTGCCTCCCCACCCTTCAATGGGGGTCCCAAGAGCCAGGGGGGGAGAGTGGCTGCCTCTCAGTCCCGGCCTCGCGGGAGGTGCCTCCCCCCTCTGCTATGGGGGTCCCAAGAGCCAGGGGGGGAAGAGGGGCTGGCTCTCAGTCCCCGCCTCGCAGGGGGTGCCTCCCCCCCCCCGCGTTGGGGGTCCTAAGAGCCAGTGGGGGAAGAGTGGCTGGTTCTCAATTGCTGCACCGTGGAGGGTGCCTCCCCCACCTGCGATGGGGGTCCTAAAAGCCAGGGGTGGAAGAGGTGCTGGCTCTCAGTCCACACCTCACGGGGGGTGCCTCCTGCACCTGCGATGGGGGTCCCAACAGCCTGGGGGGGAAGAGGGGCTGGCTCTCAGTCCCTGCCTCGCGGGGGAGCCTCCGCCCGGTGCGATGGGGGTCCTAAGAGCCAGGGGGGGAAAAGGGGCTGGCTCTCAGTCCCCGCCTCACGGAGGGTGCCTCACCACGCTGCGATGGGGATCCTAAGAGGCAGTGGGGGAAGAGGGGCTGGCTCTCAGCTACCACAAAATGGGTGGACTTTATGTTCAGGTTTTGCCCAAGAGTCAGCTTATTTGCTTCTTGTACTAGCGGGGCAGTTGCTACCACAGCCCTCAAACAGGGGGGCCATCCTTTAGAAACCTTGGGTAGTTGTTTAGAGACGTAGACCACCGGCCTCAGACAGGGCCCCACAGTTTGGGTTAAAAGTCCAACTGCCATCTTTTCTCTCTCTGACGCATTCAATGGCAAAGACTTTGTCAGATCGGGTAGCCCCAGGGCTGGGGCGGCCAGAAGTTTTTCCTTTAACTCATGAAAGACTGGCTGTTGTTGGGATCCCCATTCCAAAGGTTCCCGGTCCCTGCCCCCTTTGTGACCTCATACAAAGGCTTGGCTAGTAATGCAAAGTTTGGGATCCACAGGCTACAAAACCCCACAGCTCCTAAGAATTCTCTAACCTGCCTTCTGCTCTTAAGCTCCGGTAGATTGCAAATAACCTGCTTTCTTTCTGTTCCCCAGCTGCGTTCGGACCCCTGTCGGATAGGAAATCCCAAGTAAGGTACCTGCCATCGGCAGATTTGAGCTTTCTTCTTGGACACCTGATACCCACAGTCCTCCAGGTGGGTCCTAAGGATCTTAGGATCCACGATGGGGGTCCTAAGCCAGGGGGGAAGACGGGCTGGCTCTCAGTCCCCACCTTGCGGGGGTGCCTCCCCCACTGCGATGGGGGTCCCAAGAGCCTGGGGGGGGAAGAGGGGCTGGCTGAGTCCCTGCCTCGCGGGGGTGCCTCCCCCCAGTGCGATGGGGGTCCTAAGAGTCAAGGGGGGAAAAGTGGCTGGCTCTCAGTCCCTGCCTCGCGGGGGGTGGCTCCCCCTGGTGCGATGGGGATCCTAAGAGCCAGGGGGGGAAGAGGGACTGGCTCTCAGTCCCCGCGTCGTGGGGGTTGCATCCCCCCCTGCTCTCAGTCCCTACCTCATGGGGGGTGCCTCCCCCCGGTGTGATGGGGATCCTAAGAGTCGGGGGGGAAGAGGGGCTGGCTCTTAGTCCCCACCTCGCTGGGGGTGCCTCCCCCCACTGCGATGGGGGTCCCAAGAGCCGGGGGGGAAGAGGGGTTGGCTCTGAGTCCCCGCCTCACGGGGGGTGCCTCCCCCCCACGATGGGGGTCCCAAGAGCCAGGGGGGTAAGAGGGGCTGGCTCTCAGTCCCTGCCTCGCAGTGGGTGCCTCCGCCCCCAGCGATGCGGGTCCTAAGAGCAAGGGGGGGAAGAGGGGCTCGCTCTCCATCCCCGCCTCGCGAGGGGTGCCTCCCCCCCTGCGAAAGGGGTGCTAAGAGCCAGGGAGGGAAGGGGGCAGGCTCGCAGTCCCCACCTTGCAGGGATTGCCTCCCCCCCTGCGATGGGGGTGCTAAGAGCCGGGGAGAAGTGGGGCAGGCTCGCACTCCCCACCTCGCATGGGTTGCCTCCCACCCTTGCAATGAGGGTCCCAAGAGCCAGGGGGCAAGAAGAGCTGGCTCTCAGTACCCGCCTAGTGGGGTTGCCTCCCCCACGCTGTGATGGGGGTCGCAAGTGCCAGTGGAGGAAGAGGAGCTGGCTCTCAGTCCCCGCCTCGTGGGGGGTGCCTCTCCACACTGTGATGGGGGTCCCAAGAGCCAGGGGTGGAAGAGGGGCTGGATCTCAGCCACCACAAAATGGGGGGGCCTTTATGTTCAGGTTTTGCCCAAGAATCAGCTTATTTGCTTCTTTTACTAGCAGGGCAGTTGCTGCCACGGCCCTCAAACAAAGGGGCCATCCTTTAGAAACCCTGTCTAGTTGTTTAGAGACGTAGGCCACCGGCCTCAGATAGGGCCCCACAGTTTCGGTTAAAAGTCCAGCTGCCATCTTTTCTCTCTCTGACGCATACAATGGAAAAGGCTTTGTCAGATCGGGTAGCCCCAGGGCTGGGGCTGCCAGAAGTTTTTCCTTTAACTCATGACAGACTTGCTGTTGTTGGGATCCCCATTCCAAAGGTTCCCGGTCCCTGCCCTCTTTGTGACCTCATACAAAGTCTTGGCTAACACTGCAAAGTTTGGGATCCACAGTCTACAAAACCCCACAGCTCCTAAGAATTCTCTCACCTGCCTTATGCCCTTAGGCTCCGGTAGATTGCAAATAACCTGCTTTCTTTCTGTTCCCGGGCTGCCTTCGGAACCCTGTGGGAGAGTAAATCCCTAGTAAGGTACCTGCCGTTGACAGATTTGAGCTTTCTTCTTGGACACCTAATACCCACAGTCCTCCAGGTGGGTCCTAAAGATCTTAGGATCCGCGATGGGGGTCCTACGCTAGGGGGGAAGAGGGGCGGGCTCTCAGTTCCCGCCTCACAGGGGGTGCTTCCCCACCCTGCGATGGGTTTCCTAACAGTCATTGGCAGAGGAGGGGCTGGCTCTCAGTCCCCACCCTCACGGGGGGTGCCTCCCGCTCCTGTGATGGGGGTCCCAAGAGCCGGGGGTGGGGAGACCGGCTGGCACTCAGTTCCCGCCTTGCGGGCGGTGCCTCCCACCCTACGATGGGGGTCCCAAGAGCCAGGGGGGGAAGAGGGGCTGGCTCTCAGTCCCCACCTCGCGGGAGATGCCTACCCCCAGTGCGAGGGGGGTCCTAAGAGCCGGGGGGGAAGAGGGGCTGGCTCTCAATCCCTGCCTCGCGGGGGGTGCCTGCACTCCCTGCGATGGGTATCCCCCCCTACAGGGGACCCCCCCCCCGTAGATAAAACCACAAAGATGTGGAAAAAACAGAGCAGAAAAACTAAAAATTCTAAAAATCAGTGCGCCTCTCCTCCTCCAAAGGAATGCAGCTCCTCACCATCAACGGAACAAAGCTGGACGGACAATGACTTTGACGAGTTGAGAGAAGAAGGCTATAGATGATCAAACTTCTCCGCGCTAAAGGAGGAAGTTTGAACCCAACTCAAAGAAGTTAAAAACCTTGAAAAAAGATTAGATGAATGGCTAACTAGAATAACCAATGCAAAGGAGTCCTTAAAGGACCTGATAGAGCTGAAAACCATGGCATGAGAACTACGTGACGCATGCAGAAGCTTCAGTAGCTGATTCGATCAAGTGAAAGAAAGGGTTTCAGGGATGGAAAGTCAAACGAATAAATTGAAGCGAAAAGAGAGTTTCAGAGAAAAAAGTATAAAAAGAAATGAACAGAGATTCCAGGAAATATGGGACTATGTGAAAAGACCAAATCTACATCTGATTGGTGAACCTGATAGTAACGGGGAGAATGGAACCACGTTGGAAAACACTCTGTGGTATATTATCCAGGAGAACTTACCCAAGCTAGCAAGGCAGGCCAACATTCAAATTCAGAAAATACAGAGACCACCACCAAGATACTCCTCAAGAAGAGTAACTCCAAGACACATAATTGTCAGATTCACCAAAGTTGAAATGAAGGAAAAAATATTAAGGTCAGCCAGAGAGAAACGTCGGGTTACCCACAAAGGGAAGACCATCAGACTAACAGCTGATCTCTCAGCAGAAACTCCACAAGCCAGAAGAGAGTGGGGGCCAATATTCAACATTCTTAAAAAAAGAATTTTCAACCCAGAATTTCATATCCAGCCAAACTAAGCTTCATAAGTGAAGGAGAAATAAAATACTTTACAGACAAGCAAATGCTGAGCGATTTTGTCACCACCAGGCCTGCCCTACAAGAGCTCCTGAAGGAAGCACTAAACATGGAAAGGAACAACCGGTACCAGCCACTGCAAAAACATGCCAAATTGTAAAGACCGTCAAGGCTAGGAAGAAACTGCATCAACTGACGAGCAAAATAACCAGCTAACATCATAATGACAGGATCAAATTCACATATAACAATATTAACCTTAAATGTAAATGAGCTAAATGCTCCAATTAAAAGACACAGACTGGCAAATTGGATAAAGAGTCAAGACCCATCAGTGTGCTGTATTCAGGAAACCCATCTTACATGCAGAGACACACACAGGCTCAAAATAAATGGTTGGAGGAAGATCTACCAAGCAAATGGAAAACAAAAAAAGGCAGGGGTTGCAATCCTAGTCTCTGATAAAACAGACTTTAAACCAACAAAGATCAAAAGAGACAAAGACCATTATGTAATGGTAAAGGGATCAATTCCAGAAGAAGAACTAACTATGTTAAATATATATGCATCCAATACAGGAGCACCCAGATTCATAAAGCAAGTCCTTAGAGACCTACGAAGAGACTTAGACTCCCACACAATAATAATGGGAGACTTTAACACCCCACTGTCAACATTAGACAGATCAACGAGACAGAAAGTTAACAAGGATTTCCAGGAATTGAACTCAGCTCTGCATCAAGCAGACCTAATAGACATCTACAGAACTCTCCACCCCAAATCAACAGAATATACATTCTTTTCAGCACCACACCACACTTACCCCAAAATTGACTACATAGTTGGAAGTAAAGCACTCCTCAGCAAATGTAAAAGAAGAGAAATTATAACGAACTGTCTCTCAGACCACAGTGCAATCAAACTAGAACTCAGGATTAAGAAACTCACTCAGAACCATTCAACTACATGTAAACCAAGCAACCTGCTCCTGAATGACTACTGGGTACATAATGAAATGAAGGCAGAAATAAAGATGTTCTTTGAAACCAACAAGAACAAAGACACAACATACCAGAATCTCTAGGACTCATTTAAAGCAGTGTGTAGAGGGAATTTTATAGCACTAAATGCCCACAAGAGAAGGCAAGAAAGATCTAAAATTCACACCCTAACATCACAATTTAGAGAAGCAAGAGCAAACACATTCAAAAGCTAGCAGAAGGCAAGAAACAACTAAGATCAGAGTAGAACTGAAGGAGATAGAGACACAAAAAACCCTTCAAAAAATCAATGAATCCAGGAGCTGGTTTTTTGAAAAGAACAACAAAATTGATAGACTAACAAAGAAGAAAAGAGAGAAGAATCAAATAGACACAATAAAAAATGATAAAGGTGATATCACCACTGATCCCACAGAAATACAAACTACCATCAGAGAATACTATAAACACCTCTATGCAAATAGAAAATCTAGAAGAAATGGATAAATTCCTGGACACATACACTCTCCCAAGACTAAACCAGGAAGAAGTTGAATCCCTGAATAGACCAATAAAAGGCTCTGTAATTGAGGCAATAATTAATAGCCTACCAACCAAAAAAAGTGTAGGACCAGACGGATTCACAGCCGAATTCTACCAGAGGTACAAGGAGGAGCTGGTACATTCCTTATGAAACTATTCCAATTAATAGAAAAAGAGGGAATCCTCCCTAACTGATTTTATGAGGCCAGCATCATCCTAATACCACAGCCTGGCAGAGACACAACAAAAAAAGAGAATTTTAGACCAATATCCCTGATAAACATCGATGCAAAAATCCTAAATAAAATACTGGCAAACCGAATCCAGCAACACATCAAAAAGCTTATCCACCATGATCATGTGGGCTTCATCCCTGGGATGCAAGGCTGGCTCAACATACACAAATCAATAAACGTAATCCAGCATATAAACAGAACCTACAACAAAAACCACATGATTATCTCAACAGATGCAGAAAAGGCCTTTGACAAAATTCAACAACCTTCATGCTAAAAACTCTCAATAAATTAGGTATTGATGGGACGTATCTCAAAATAATAAGAGCTATTGATGACAAACCCACAGCCAATGTCATACTGAATGGGCAAAAACTGGAAGCATTCCCTTTGAAAACTGGCACCAGACAGGGATGCCCTCTCTCATCGCTCCTATTCAACATAGTGTTGGAAGTTCTGGCCAGGGCAATCAGGCAGGAGAAAGAAATAAAGGGTATTCAATTAGGAAAAGAGGAAGTCAAATTGTCCCTGTTTGCAGATGACATGACTGCTGTATATCTAGAAAACCCCATCATCTCAGCCCAAAATCTCCTTAAGCTGATAAGCAACTTCAGCAAAGTCTCAGGATACAAAATCAATGTGCAAAAATCACAAGCATTTTTATACACTAATAACAGACAAACAGAGAGCCAAATCATGAGTGAATTCCCATTCACAATTGCTTCAAAGAGAATAAAATACCTAGGAATCCAACTTACGAGGGATGTGAAGGACCTCTTCAAGGAGAACTACAAACCACTGCTCAACAAAATAAAAGAGGATACAAACAAATGGAAGAAAATTCCATGCTCATGGATAGGAAGAATCAATATCATGAAAATGGCTATACTGCCCAAGGTAATTTATAGACTCAATGCCATCCCCATCAAGCTACCAATGACTTTCTTCACAGAATTGGGAAAAACTACTTTAAAGTTCAT